>NC_000001.11:233002303-233153818 GCF_000001405.40 Homo sapiens | reverse complement strand
TGTAATGAAAAGCAGCAGATTCCTGTCAACTCCACCCTCCTGCCCCATTTCTGATTTTCCCTGTACAGAAAAAAAATACTTTCTGCTCTTTAAGGTATCTCTTCTGGTATTCTTCTAAATAATGATCATGTGCGTGTTCTGCTACTTCTTGGTATTTTAGATTTGTTTATCTACTGACTTTCCATTATAAAAGATAAGAATTTATCTCTCTTATCTTCCCTTATGCATTAGCATTTTCACTTTCCTCCTTCTCCTAATATAGTTTTAATATATTTGTTGAACTTCTACTCAGGCTCTTTTTTAACTCTTAAGTCTAAACGTTGTTCACCTCTGAGTCCAGTAGTATAGACCTTGATTATATTTCTTATTCAAATGTTTGTTTTTGTATTTGCTCACCATTCCAATAGCTATGTAGTATATTTCTCATTCCAACTTTCCACACAGACGAATCTGTCACATAATCTATTAGCTCCGTCCTCCCTCCCTGACTCCCTCCTGGAACCTGCTGCAAGTTTCTGTTTTTGTTTACTCCCTTTTTTGGAGTGAAGCTTGTCCTCAGTCGCCCCTGAGAAGAGGCACATGAGAAGAAACTTTCAAGAGCTCCTCTGCTCAAAGTGTTTTATTCTACTTCATACTTCAGATAGTTTGTAGTGTGTAGCCTGCCAGGGTGTAAGCGTTATTCCATTGTCTTCCAGCATCCACTGCTGCTGCTAGAAAGTCTGAGGTTTTTTGACTCTTCGTCTTTTGTTTGTGACTAGGTTTTTCTCTGCAGAAAGCTTTTGGGAAGTTTAGGAGATAATTATAATGTTATGGCCCAGCCTTGGACAAGACTGGGTGGGCTCAAACCCTGGTTCTGTCGCATATTAAGTGTGCTTCGCCATTGTGATTCAGTTTTGTCTTCTATAATTGGGAATTCCTACATTAAATATAAAATCAATCGAAGAAGAAATGTAGCACCTTTAGCCTAGTCATTGGCAGACAGAAAGCGCTCCCTAAGTGCATCCTCCTCCTCTTCCCAGGGTTCTGAAGTCTCATCAGTTTCACCTGACTTTGTGCCTTGGGAGGCTGAGGTGGGTGCCTGGCACCCATTGTGCTAGGCAGTTGGTGGCCCTTTATAATCTGGATGTACATGTCATACATACAGTTTTGAAATTTTCATCAATAGGTCATAGTGCTATCTGAATGCCTTATTTCACAGAATTTGCGCAGTAATTAAGTGAAACTCAATAATATATGTAAAAATGCTTTCAAATGTATCTAGTGTTAGTTAAAGTAACATGGCATGAGAGGCACTGTCTGATTTTGGAACATAAAACTATGCAGGGGTCTTTGGAAAGAGGCTTTCTTTGCTGTGGCTAGAGGAGGAAGGATGTATTCCTTACCTCGCCTTTTTCCCCACATAAGAAAGATGCTAGCTTCAGGAAGTAGTTAGAGACTTGGAAAACTCTTCAAAGTGTCTTTAATTCAAAATTACTAAAATAATTTGAAGCATAAACTGAACTAGTACTAGCAAAGTAACATAGTCATCATGTGCTATGATACTGGTATGGAAAGTGCATTTCAAATGCCAAATAAGTGACTTCGAGCTGAGTTTTTAGAAACCAGCCTGTCAGTTGGAAGCCTGCTTTATTAATTATTCTCTCTGTTGCTATTATTTTCCTGCACCCTCTCTTCCCCTCATTTTCCCTTCCTCCCTGCCAGGCACTCTCATACTCTGGCTGATCTCCTCTGGTCCACTGGGAAACTTATCTTCCTGCGTCAGTCTCCACAAGGCTGGAGGTGGCCGCAGGGGTTTGGCAGTGAAGCCAAGTTACACTGCAGCGGGAGGAAAAAGAAAAGTGGAAATCAGTTACCTCTGCTTGCAGCAGAGAGAGGCAGAGGGAGGTCTGGAGAAGCTCAGGCAAAACTGGGCTAGCATTAAAAAGGCTGGGCGCAGTGGCTCACGCCTGTACCCCATCTCTACTAAAAATACAAAAATTGGCCGGGCATGGTAGCAGGTGCCTATAATCCCAGCTACTCAGGAAGCTGAGGCAGGAGAATCACTTGAACCCAGGAGGTGGAGGTTGCAGTGAGCAGAGATTGTGCCATTGCACTCCAGCCTGGGCAACAAGAGTGAGACTTTGTCTCAAAAATAAATAAATAAATAAAAGATAGAAAGACAGGACTTGGGACAGAGCTCAATGGTTAGCTGCCAGCCTCAGATTCCAGCTCTCCAGCAAGCCACAGGGTGTTTATCCAAGACCCGTTAGGATTCTCTTAAATTGCTGATAAACCTAATGCAATATGGAGCTAAAATGAATGGTCAGTAGTGGGAGGGATACTTAAACAACTAACACTAAAAGTCAGGAAGTTTTAATATGCTGCGTGCAATATATGCACAATGGTCCTACAGTGGCTTTGGGCTATTAGCACAACAAACATGGGAAAGGCTAAAGAGAGCATTTTGAAGAATGATGTTAGTTCTCAGCTGCAGTCGGTGTGGCCACTGTGGTGAGCCCTGACTCAGTCTCCCTAAAGTAGGTCTGTTGGAATCTTATCAGAAGTAGCTTAACCTTCATAGCTCTCTAGGATAGGATGATATATGGATAGGCCATGGAGAAAATAGAAATGGTGTTTTTAAGTAACCTTGTAATTTAAATAACATACAAATTACACTTTACTTGAGGGAGGATTTCTTCTGAATTGGACATTTATTGAGCACCTGCTATGTCCTAGACACTGTTCTGGGCGTTGAGGATGCAAAAGTAAGCACGTTGTCCTTGCTCTTGGCAAGATGGTTATTCTAACGAGAAGCTCTGTCTACCCTGTGGCCACAGTGAGAGCATTTGGAATTCTCTCCTAGCCCTCTTCATGTAAAAATGTTGATCTAACCTTTTTCATGTGAAAAAGGTACAAGTGGTTCTATTCGCTTTTTCAGTTTTAAATATTATTATTATGGTTTGGTGTTAATTGAGGACCTTTCTGTCAAGAAGAGAAGGCACATTTCACACTGATTCTGCCGAGTTTCTCCCGCTTTTTGAGGAAATGTGAAGGACACATTTTTATTCCCACTGAACTAATGAAAAAAAAATCAATGGGATGGTTTTGGGGAAATGAACATTAAAAATATTGGAGTAAGACTTTGTATCAAATGAATTTCCAGATGTATTAAAGCTTTAAAATGTTTTTTAAAATGAAGGAAGAAGAAAGAAACCAGAATAGCACTGCAAGAAAATGTAGGTCAAGTTATATCATCTTGGTTGAGGAAGAGAAAAAGAATTTTCTAAGCATGATGCCAAAGTAAAAACCCACTAATTAAACAAATGAAAGTTTTTATTCCTTGAAAAACATAAACTTTAATATTCTGATTCTCTCACGTTGCTCTTCCCTACCTTGTATTTCTTTGAGAAATTTACCATGATGTTGAACCTGAATAATGTCTATCAATTCATTCAAAATATATTTATTGTGTTGCTGGGACTGTGTAGGATGCTGGGAACCTGGAGAGTAGATATTCTGAGAAAATGAAATGCCTTGGGCAGAAGCAAACCCAGTACCCTCCAAAAGAAGCAGTACCCACTGTGGGGAAGCACCAGCTTCTCCTCAGACTTTGTTCTACTAGGCGTCTTCTTAATTAAGTTATTAATCCATCAGTTAGTCAGGTGTGTTACCTGAGATTTCCTGAGTGGCCACTATGGACAAAGTCTGAATGCTGCCTGTGACTGAGAAGGACGGTCCTGGCCCCGCTGGCTGTGGCTGCAGCCCTCTGGAGAGATGGTCATTCATCCCACGGAAGAAAGTACAATGAAAGAAACACATAGGGGGTTGGGAGGGAGTGCAAGGGAGTCTTCATTTAGATCTGAGGGGAAAGGAAGGGCTCCTTGAGGAAGTGACGTGTAAATTGAGGCCTAAGTAAAGGAAATGGAGTAGAAAAAAATTTATATATATATAAATTGAGGCTTAAGGATAAGTGGAGGAAGAGGATTGAGGGCATGGGACTGGGCCATGGGCAGCCCTGAATTCACTTAATTGAAAAAGAAAAAATGGTGGACCATGGGTTCATCCTAAACGGAGATCAAGGGCTTTGAGCAGCAAGGATGATGTGACTTCCTTTACCCTGCATTCATTCTACTGGTTTTGTAAGTGAATCCTGTTTCTAGAGAATAAACAACATGTGTACATGTTAGTGCTAAGAACTTGATGATAGCTGAGATTTGACCCAGGAAGACAGATGAGAGTGAGAAAGCTTACAGAAAAAAGCAATTGTCTATAATAAGGGGATGGTAACAGCACAGATGTGTTCATTCCACTTTGCAGAGTCTCTCTGCCTCAGATGCCTCAGGGGTGACACCAGGGATAGTTGATTCAAGCCTCACCCCCACTGAAATGCATCTGGCCCTTATATAGCAGGAAGCCCTCTATCCTTGCAGCTTAAATCCTAATTCAAGGTTTGAATTGGTGAAGATTTTCTTTCTAAAGCTGAAAACATCCTGAGGATTTTTATTAACTTTTAATTATGGAGAAGAACTTATTTTAGTAGCATAAAGAGTCTAAACAAAACACAACCTGAAACCCTTTAAGACAATTTAAAGCTTTTAATTGTAATGAGTTATATATAAACTTGTAAATGGTATAATTAGTTTGCATTCTTTTTCTCAAGGACCTAATATTCCAGAGAAAAGAGAAATAATCATGCTAAAGTATTGGTTTTTTTATGGTCTCTTTGCATATTTGGGACATTACAGAAAGGCAGTTACAAAATATCATTGCAGACTTTCTTTTTGACTTTACTTTGTGTGAACCCTAACACAATCTGGGGATGCAGGAAGCACATTTGCCGTGCTGCTGCATGGGCAAGCCCTCCTTTTTCTAGCCTTTCATGGTTGGTGTATGTGAAAGGAGTGAGTTTAATCTTTGAGGAATCAGAATTCTGGACTTACACTTTTGTTTTAGCTTCTTCTTACATTATTATTCATCTTTTAATGTGTCCCTTTCTACTTCCAACTATAAACATTCAGTATGAGTTTCATTTATCTGTTAAATGTTTTCCTCATCTAGAGACTGAAGCGTGTCATTAGAATAAATTGCTGAGATTGGTAGGAGGATTCTAAGATAAGTAAGAATTAAAGTGAAATTAAGGCCGGGCATGGTGGCTCAGGCCTGTAATCCCAGCATTTTGGGAGGCCAAGGTTGGTGGATCACTTGAGGTCAGGAGCTCAAGGCCAGCCTGGCCAATATGGTGAAACACCATCTCTCCTAAAAATACAAAAAATTAGCCTGGCGTAGTGGCACACTCATGTAATCCCAGCTACTTCGGAGGCAGAGGTTGCAGTGAGCCAAGATCCCGCCACTGGACTCCAGCCTGGGCAACAGAGTGAGACTCCATCTCAAAAAACAAAAAAAAAAAAAGAAAAGAAAAAAAGTGAAATTAATATCCTGTCAATATGCAGCGTTAATGGAACCTGAAGTCAAAAGTTTGGGCTTGGTGATCTCTGGGTTTTGTTCTCTACTTTGTCATTTCTTGATATTTATTTTAACTTGTTTCCTCACCTTTTCCCATCTCTGCTTTGACTAGATGTTGTACTCAACACCCACCAGGAAAACCGTGCCTTGGGATGAATCTTTACCTGAAATGTTTTATTTCATTCCCGCTTGCTGGTGTGTGCTCATAGTGTAAACACATTTGCTGTCCTCTCATCTAGAGATGCAGAATTAATCCATGGAAAGCAGTGGTAGTTTTTATATGACATTTAGATGTCAGAAGCTGTCACTTTCATTCCTTTGAAGTACCGTGGGCAGTAAACTAGAGCTGAATTATGCAGTTCAACCTGGTTTCTAACTCAGTATTTTTTTGTGACTCTCCTGTTCCTATAAAAATAATAGTAAAGGTTTTGTAACTTATGAATTAACTGGTTTCCAGTTCCCCAAAAGATTTTTTCCCTTCAAAAGTCCAACGTAGAGCTCCTTTATAGCTATCATCTTGCTTTGCTTCTAAGTAGAGATTCAGTTATCACCTCTTAAAGATCCCTGGCCTCAGCCCATCTCCATATGTGTTATTGTGGCCATATAGAATGCAGGGCCTGCCAACAAAATGCTGTTCTAATGTCAGACAGCAGAATGGTACTTACAGTCCAAGTCTTCCTAAAGATTAAATGTTTTAATCACTTGACTTAAAGTTGTGTCTATGATATACGGTTGACCTTGAACAACACAAGTCTGAACTGTGTGGTCCACTTACACATAAATTTTTTTTTTTTTCAGTAAAAGTTATACCTAGTGCTCCTGTCTCTCCTGCCTTCCCTTCCACTTCCTCCACCTTTTCACCTCTTCCACCCCTGAGCCAGCAGGACTACCCCCTCCTCTTCCTCCTTCTCCTCCTCAGCCTACTCAACGTGAAGATGATGAGGATGAAGACCTTTATGGTGATCCACTTCCACTTAATGAATAGGAAATATATTTTCTCTTTCTTATGATTTTCTTAATAACATCTTCTTTTCTCTAGCATGCTTTATTATAAGAATACAGTATATAATACATATAACAGATAAAATATGTGTTAATCATCTGTTTATGTTACCAGTGAGGCTTCTGATCAACATTAGACTAATGGTAGTTAAGTTTTGGGGGAGTCAACGTTAAATTCGCACTTTTGACTGTGCAAGCGTTGGTGTCTCTAACCTCCCCCTTGTTCAAGGGTCAACCATAGTTTCACGTGCTCACACACACACCCCCCAGGTAGTTCAGATGGTTAGAATCTCACTGAATAAGTATTTCACTCTGAAATATTTGGAAAGGCATGGATAGTGAATTCAGAGCTTATCAGTGCTGTCTCTTTTATTTGAAATTCATTGTTTTATGTGTTTCTGAGATGAGTAAACTGAAATTCTTATGAAAAACCTACTTTTGTTGCCATGACCTGTGGTAAATCCTTGTAGACTGTAATGGGATTATGTCCCTCCACTCAAATCAATCTATCTCCACTCACTGGAAAATGTCATTTTCTAAAAGTAAATGTGACAAGCTTTTGAAAATCTAGTTCTTACTCCCCCATCCAAATGGTGCCCGGGCTATTCTACAGTGATGACCCAGCCACTCAAATGTTTCCTTTAATTCATATGTTTTTCTAATAGCACTGGGAAGAGATTGGCTTATATTTCTCTTCATTTACATTTTTTTTGCAGGAATATAGCTAAGGTTGTCATGTCTCTCTGAATTGGTGACAAATGTTGATAGAACTCTGTAAATGTATTTTTATAAGCAGGCTGAATTGCATTTGATGTGATGGCCTCAATCTGACACTGTTGATCTCTTATAAACTGAGAAATCAGAAAAAATAATTTTGTACAGAAAGAAACTTAACTGTAACTGATTGTACTTTATGAGAGATTAAAATAGGAAATGTTGTTTAATACGCTAGTTACTTTTTTTATTTCATAATCAGAAAAGTACTTCAAAAAGACTGCTTTTTTCCCCCAGAACCTCTGTTAAATGTAATTATCCAGAATTCCCTCAACCACTAAAAATGATAAGGTAATAATCATTTACCAAACCCCAACTCTCTGGCAGACATTCTAGTAGGTACATAGTACCTACCCTTAACAAATTCAGAATCTAGTGGGAAGATTCGTATTTAAGTGAATAATTACTCTATGATGTGACACTTCCTTAAATTATAGAATTCACAGGGTACAGTGATGGCGTGAAGGAATAACATTCTTTGCGTTGAAGCTAGAAGTAATAATACAGGTTGAGTACCTCTTATTTAAAATGCTTGGGACCGTATTTCTGATTATGGTTTCTTTTGGATTGTGGCGTATGAGCATTTCTTTAGGTGTCATGTCAGTGCTCAAAAAGCTTTGGATTTTGGAGCATTTCAGATTCCAGGTTTTTGGATTTGAGATGCTACACCAGTATATACAGAGCACCTGGCTCAATGTCTGGCAGACACCTAATGGTTATTCCATACATGGGACGTCAGTAGAGCACCGAAGGTAAGGAAGTGGTGGGGTCTGCCCAGGAGCAGTCAGCAAGGGGGTGCATGGCTTATAAAGAATTTTAAAACAATAAAAATACCAATTAAAAGTTACCCCTTTTTACTGTTACCATGTACTGAGAATTCTAAACACTGTCAGTGGTAAATCCTCCTCCTACCAGAATGATGCTTCAAATGCCCTGCCCCTGGCAGCCTCCGGTAGTGACTGTATTGGAAGCAGGGGGCTCAAAGGGGCCTGAGGTCTCCAGAAGGCGAGATGCCAGCCCTGTAAACAGATTAGGAATTTCTCAAGCAGAAAAGACTCAGGGTCATTCCAGGAAAGCATCTAGCACACGTAGAGGCACATAAAACATCACAGTTCACTCCAGTGCTGGGGGAAATAGAAGTTGTTTTCAATAAATGGTGGCAGTCAATCAGATATTAACATGGAAAAAAATGAGTCTTGGCCCCTGTCTTACACAATACACAATAATCAATGCTGGATAGTTTGCTGATCTAAATGTGAAAGATAAAGCAATAAAGGTCTTAGAGAAAACCATAGGAGAATGTGATCATGATCTTTTTCTCTTAAACATAGCACCGGCCAGGTGCAGAGGCTCATGGCTGTAATCCCAACACTTTGGGAGTCCGAAGCAGGCGAATCACAAGGTCAGGAGGTTGAGACTATCATGGCTAACACGGTGAAACACCGTCTCTACTAAAAAATACAAAAAAATTAGCCGGGCGTGGTGGCAGGCGCCTGTAGTCCCAGCCACTTGGGAGGCTGAGGCAGGAGAATGGCTTGAACCCGGGAGACGGAGCTTGCAGTGAGCCGAGATTGAGCCACTGCACTTCAGCCTGGGTGACAGAGCAAGACTCCATCTCAAAAAAAAAAAAGAAACAAAAAAAAAAAACAAAACAACAACAACAACAAATAGCACCGAAGGCCCTAAGTGGGAAAAAATGAGAAGTTGTAATATATTAAAATTATGTATTTCTTTTTTATAAAAGATACTATTAAGAGAGTGAAAATCTAACCATAAAATGGGAGAAGTTTTTCTTCATACATATACTGGCTAAAGACTCATACCTAGAATGTATAAAGAACTCCCAAAAATCAATAAGGAAAAGACATATAATCCAATAGGAAAAAGAACCAGGCAACAGAATGAAGAACTACTTCACAAAAGTGTGTATCCAAATGGCCAGTAAACATGTAAAAAGATACTCGTCTGCATGAGTCATTAAATAAATGTTAAATAAAACCATAATATGATACCACTCTACACAGGGCAGCATGGCAAAAATTAAGAAGAGAAAAAACATTTTGGCAAAGATGTGGAACAAAAAGGAACTCTCTGGTACCATCTGCGAGAGTGTAAATTGGCACAATACCTTTGGACAATTATTTGTCATTATCTGCTGAAGCTTGCTATATGCACACCTGATAACCTATGAATTCTACACCTAGTTATGTACTCTATAACTAGGTTTTGATGACTGGAGTAAACTTAAAAAGTTACCTGACTGAAGTAAACTTAAAAAGAAAAGGAAGATAAGGTTGTTGAGAAAATGAGTGTAGCTACATTTTTAAAAAATGAAAATATTTTCCGGGTAGTGCCTGGAAAATAACCAGCATCTGAAAGAAAATGTAAGGCCAAAAGAGGGTATTTTTTTCATGTTTTTGAGACAGGGTCTACGCTCTGTTGTCCAGGCTGGGGTGCAGTGGTGTAATCACGGCTTATTACAGCCTCAACCTCTCGGGTTCAAGCAATCCTCCTACTTCAGCCTCCCAAGTAGCTGGGACTACAAGCACACACCACCATGCCCAGCTTATTTTTAAACTTTTTGTAGAGACAGGGTCTCCCTATATTGCCCAGGCTTGGGGTATATTTTTAATGGAAGATATTATAGCAATTTTTTTTTCTGATGAGAATGATTCGGTAAAGAGAAAAAAATCCAAGTAATGCAGGAGAATGGGGGATCATTGCAAGAAACAAGTCCTCAAGTAGAGACAGATAAGAAGGATTAGAATACAGTGTACACATCTGGCTGGTTTAGGAAACAGTTTATCTGCATAAAAGATAATTATAATTTTTTAGGCAAAAGTGATTAAGAGCATGGAAGACAGAAAAGAAGGGATAGACATGCAGAGAGTGAGCACATGGAATCAACCCAGTTTAGTCCTTCAGTCCTTTAGTCTCCATGTATAGAGGAAGATCATCCAGAAAATGGTTCTCAAACTGGAGCATGTATCAGAATCACTTGTAGGACTCGTCAAAACACAGATTGCCTTGCCCAGGGCCCAATCCGCAGAATTTCTGACTCATTGGGTCCAGGATTGAATCTGAGAATTTACATTTGTAACAAATTCCTAGGGGATGCTGGTACTGCTGGCTCTGCTGTTCCTGAAAGTATTCCCTGAGGTCCAGGAGTATTTGCATCACTTAGAAGTTTATTAGAAATGTAGAATGTCTGGCTCCATTCCAGACCTACTGCATCAGACTCTGCATCTTAACAAGGGACTTATTTGCATGTTGATGTTTGAGAATCACCATTTAGGACAGTGTTTTTCAGCTTTGCCCCGAAGTGATTTCAACGTACAGCTATGAGAAGTGAGAAGAGCTGATTTAGGATGACTCTGGGTATATTGTCTGCATGGCTAAGTGAATGCAAGAATGTATGAGGAAGAGAAGGTGTGTACAGGTTGACAGCATTACGTTTGTGACATGTTGTATTTGAAAGTTCCTTTGGGACATCAGATGAAGCTATTCAATTGATTATTTAGATCTGAAGTCCAGGAGAAAGATGAGATATTGAGTTATAGATTTGAGTGTCATCAGCATGGAAGTAATAATTAAAGTTACGGGTGTTGAAGACATTAGCTCAAGAAGATAAGAAAAATAATAGGGGGAGAAGGAAAGCAGATGACCAGGGATAGGGGAAGAGGAGATGACAGAGGAAATGGGAGAAGAGTAGAGCAAAAGGTTTGAGCACAAGCTGGGGATGGTGGGATGGGGAAGCTAAGGGCAGAGTGAGTTTTCAAAAGGAGGGAGGATTTAGTGATGTTTTATGCGTCAGAAAAGTCCAGTAAGAGAGACTGAGAAGTATCAGTTATTTGACCATCAGGAGGTCACAAGAGGTCCTGCCACATGCATGTCAGGGCAAGGGTAGCTGCAAATACCCAGGGGCAGAGGTGTCCCCAGTAAGTGGGAGACACAGAAGTGGGAACATCAGATATTGACAAGCTTTCCAAGAAGCTGAGAAGTACAGAAAAGGCCAGAGTGAGCTCTAGAAGGAGGTTCAGGGTGGAAGGTGAGTTTTCCACACAGAGAAGACTGGGATCTTGCCACTTGCCTTGGGAAAGAGCTAGTGTTGAGGCAGGGAGTGGCTACTGAACCAAGATGGCAGGAGCACAGGATGCAGGACATGGATGGAGCTTGGCTTCAGGAGGAGCCAGTAGTAGATATGAGTATAAATGAATTTGTAGTTGGAGGGCATTTGTACCTCATAGACTTTATTTTCTCCCGAAAGTGGAGGTCAAAGACAGTTGCTGGGAGGGAATGCAGGAGTGGTCTTGAAGATTTTTTTTTACTACTCTACTACTGTAAGATGACTTGATGCTATGTGACAGCCCACATGCTTTCACAACAGATTAAAATCCTTTAATCTATATGTAAAATGTCTAATATGTCTAGACTTTATTGTGTATAAAACATTCATTATGAAATAACACATTTCCAAATCTACTCCAGAAAAAATTATACTTTGTCCATTAAGAATATTCAACATTGAATTCCTGCCCAACATCCTTGCTCTTTGAACTTTATTCTCCTCCCACTCTTCCTCCCTGTTTCATCTGTCACTAAAACTTCTTTTTATTTTTATCTGGATGATTTCTCATTGTCTCTTCTATTTATTAAGCTCATTGTTGGAGTGTTTGTACTGATAATACTTTATTTCCAATATCTTGAAGGACTTTCACGCTGTCTATTCTCACCATTCCTAGCCCATTCGAATGAATTCTTTTCAAGTAAGATTTCTAAATGCCAAGTCTCTCTTCATATACACACACACACACACACACACACACATATACATATACACACACATATATACCCATATATATATATACACATTTACACACACAGATATATATATACACACACATATATATATATTTTTTCTTTTTTCTGAGATGGAGTCTCTCTCTGCCACTCAGGCTGGAGTGCAGCGGCACAATCTCGGCTCACTGCAACTTCTGCCTCCCGGGTTCCGGGTTCAAGTGAATCTCCTGCCTCAGCCTCCAGGATATCTGGGATTACAGGCACATGCCACCATGCCCAGCTAACTTTTGTATTTTTAGTAGAGTCGGATTTCGCCATGTTGGCCAGGCTGGTCTCCAACTCCTGACCTCAAGTGATCTGTCCACCTTGGCCTCCCAAAGTGTTGGGATTACAGGCATGAGCCACCGCACCCGGTCTCTCTTCATATTTTTAATCAAATGAAAGTAGTTTTGTTTTTGAGTTACCAAGATGATATATTCTTATATAGAAATATGAGCCATATCAAGTAGAAAGTAAAATAGTTTCTATTTGTGTGTGTGTGTTTATGATACTTCCTGAGATCTGTCATGCAGAGCCCCAGTGAAGCTGATTGGAAACAGACAATTTGTATGCTAATCTTGGATAAGAGACCTGGAAGGAACAGGCTGTTTTGTCAGCTTGAACTTTTTCTCTTTTGTGAGTTGTTCTTGTGCAACCCAATGTAAAAACTACATAACTCTCTTTTTAACTCTAGGTCATTGTAGGGTAAAGTTTTTTTTTTTACTATAAATTGTTGAAGAATGTGATTCCAGAGGTGTAATGGAGTTGCCTGGCACCTTGCAGCTTTAAGCTTTGAGGCTTGCTGTGGAGAGCATGAAGCCCACAGCAGAGCTGGTTCATTTGCTGGTAGGTGGGGGCCCACTGCAGCCTCCCAATTACTGACAGACAGAGAGGAGGGGGCAGGGAATGAGAGGGGCCTAGCCGAGGGCCCTGGGCCTGAACCTGCTGTGCTCTCCTCAAGTTGGGAAGCAGAGGAGAGTCCTGGCTCTTGTTCCAGTTCCAAGAGGCAGGGATGAAGCATTTCCCCACCGCTGAATGTGACCTAAGGAAGTTTGTGCTCTGACCACTCACGCCAGCTGCTCCTCCTCCCCAGAGAGAAAAGCACGGGCTCCCCAGATGGGCAAGCATGCATTCCTCATTACCCCATCTCCTGCCATGAGGAGTAGGAGGTGGAAAGAACCTCTTCCCCATCAGCAGACTCAGAGGATGGGCAGGACACAAAAAACTAAGGCTCGAAAAGATGAAGCTAATAATTCAAGGTCATTCACTAGTGGTTGGTAGAGACTGAATGCAAACCCAGGTTGGTCTAACTTAAAACCTTAGCCCTTAATGGAAATAGACTTCAATCTTTGTGGTACTTCCTTTGTTGTAAGCACTCAGAAGAAGGTAATAGATTCATAGTGGCTGGGGTTTGGGAGTCAGCTGTGTCTTATTTGCATATATTGCCCAGGGATTTGTTTGTGGTTTAAAGATTAAAAAGGGAGAGAAGAAAGCCCAGAAACTAGCTTCAGCCACAGAAGTGAACCCTAGCTTAAAAGGAGACAGACATAAGGGATTTTTTCCAACTCTTCATCCTTCACCTTCCACCCTTACTACGCTAAGATGACTTGATGCTATGTGACAGCCCATTCATTGGTCTCAGTAAATTATATATGAAGAAATCAATTGACTTGAACAATTGGGATGCTGGCCTATATTACTGTATGTATATTATTATTTATGAACTGTGTAGAAGCAAAGCTAACAGTTGCTGCCTGGAAAAAAATGGTATATCATGTCTAGTATCACGAGTTCTTAATTAGCAGCTTTTGAATTAAAGGGGGGGAATATTACTTATTATTACCTGTACTTAAAGAAAAATACTTTGATCGGTGGTTGTTCTAAGTGGTTTTTATATTTCTTTCAGATGTTGCCCATTTAATGTGGTTCGAAAGACTCTATGTTTGGCTTCAGTGTTTTGAAAAATACATCTTGTACCCAGCGCTAATTTTGAATGCCCTCACTATTGATGCATTTTTAATAAGCAATCACCGGAGACTTGGTACCCAGTAAGTGGTTAATGGTTTATCTTCATAATGATTTGGGTCACATTTTCAAAATCGAGTGAATTTTCTGTAAACAATCTGCAGAAGAAGCCAACCTTTACCGACTGTGATTGGCCATGTAAAAATAAGCCATGGTGGTCTTTTACTCAAAACCCACTGGAGCTAGACAGTTATTGTAGAATGACTGGGGTGCAAATGAAGTTAGATCTGCTTGAAATGATATTGTGAATAAATGTCAGTAGATTTGAAAATCATCCTGCAGAAGCTTAGTCAGTGAGCCTTAATAAGAAGACGGAAGCACAGTGTGAGTCCAGGATTCCTGGAGTTCTTAACATCATGCTTAGAGCTTTATGAACTGCTTCATGTCATTTCATTTAGCAAATACTCTATCATTTTGTGCTTGTGGGAGGGGGAAATTAATCACTGTCACTGCTGTCTCTGAATTTATCAAGAGAAGCCTCGTAATTTAAAAACTGGCACAGAGACTTCATTCTGTCAAGATGCCCATGTCTTTCAAAGCATTAACAATGTACAGTCGAGTTATTGGTTTCATATATTAAAATTAATTCTGAATTTACAACATGGAAATCTCCTTGATAATCTGTAGATTTGTCATTCTGATGAAAGGCAAAAGTTGCTGGTCAAAGAAGTTGTTAGAGTAGGAGGATATAAAAGAGATTCTTTCCCAGATTTGCTCATTAGTCACGTTGCTTAAACACTATGTATCCAAGTCAACCCTGATGCATAATCCCAAACATGCTAATTCAAACCTGCTCTTCCTTTCAGGGTGTCATGAGGACAAATTAATTAATATTCTCCAAAGATTGAGCAGGCTAAGATAAAAGGCATTTTAATACTCTGTTGGACTTTGAGTAGATTCATAGTCACACAAAGCAGACACTAAATGAAATGATCCCATAACCTGTCCTTATTGAACTCTGCCTTCCTTCTAGTCCAGACCTGTTTCTGTCAGACCAGGGCAAGAATTCTATGTTCTTTGATACTTAAAATTCTAGACTTCAAATCCAGAGATGAGAATTAGTTTCACTGGATTTAGAAAAGCAGATGATTGGACTTCAGACCCCTTATACAGTTTAAGTGGGACCCAATCTAGGAGATGACCAGAATTTAGAACTTTGTGAGCTTCTCTAAGGCAGGGATTCCCAGTATGGTACAGTCCTGGTTGACCCTGCAACTCCCCCTGAGAACAAGGTAGAGCCTCAGTTTCTCGAATGGGAACACATATTCAAAGCCAGAGTAGCAAAGAAGGTACCAGTGCCACTCTGGGAAATTGAGCTAAAGGATTTAAAGTTTTCCCTATTCAACTTCAGGACAAGGACCTTGAGCTAAGCCTGTGGGGTTGAGGCCAAGTTGTTAGAGAAGGCAGATGCAAGGGCTAAGACTCTAGCAGAGTCAAATAAATAATTCAGAGAGGGTCCATTTAGAAGTAATATTATTCTCCATCCCCTGTAATTTTTTTCCAGACACTAAAGTCAGAAAGGTGCACGTTATCTATATAGCTGTGAATATCCTCAACTCCCAGATGATCACATCAGCAATTGTTTCACTCAGAACCCAAAGGTGGAAATTCCTTTCTATTCCTGATGCATCTGTAGAATTAAAAACAAAACATTTTTCGAGGTTTCAGGCACCCTACTAGACCAACTGTTCTCAAACAGGATAGCAGGAAACTCTATATTGGTATCACTTTGAGACCTTTTCTAAACCAGAGAAGCCCAGCCCCTCCCTGTGATTTTTGAGAGCCATTGTACTAAATAGTCACAGAGTGAACTTTTCAACAGCAGGCACTGTTTCTTATTCAACTTTTCAATAGCAAACCACTAGTAAGCGTTAGAAGGATGAATGCATGAACAACCAAGTAGGGGTCTGGTAAATTAATGAGTCGGTGAACTGGGGTATCTTGTTAGGTGCTTCTGTTTCTTAGCCTGATCTAAGAGGATGCTCTCCATCTGTTCCAGGGCATTGTTCACCAATTGCTACCTCAGCCTTTATAAAACCTTCAGCTAAGTGCAGTCTATCTTCACGTAACATCCTGGATAAGTTCTTGAAAACTGTGACTTTAATAAAAACCAATACAAAACTAAATAAAACAAAGTTTACTGTGGGCTAATTGATAGAAACAAGAATTATGTTCCATAGCGTATTTCTGGTCACAAAAACATCACCGAACTTCTAAATAAAGACCAAAACACCTTTAATGTTAAACATTGAAATAAATGTGAATGATACATACATTTAGGAAAGATTAATACAAACAATTAAGATAATTATTTACCCATATATTCCAATTCAGTGCATCCAGTGGCTGGAGCCTGTCCTGGCAGCTCAGGGTGCCCAGTGGGAACCCATGCTGGACAGGATGCCTCCCATCGCAGAACACACTCACACCCACACTCACACTCACTCACACTGGACCATGTCAGCACATCAGTGCACCTACTGTGCACACCTTTGGGATATGTGAGGAAACCGGAGAACTCAGAGGAAAACCCACACAGATATGAGGACAATGTACAAACTCCACACCGACAGTGGGGTCCTGGCCAGGAATCCATTTTGTTTTCCCATCAATGTTATACTGAAACAACATTGAATGAAGCAACGTTATTTGAGGACCTGCTGTATACAATGATCTATGGGTCATTAATGGTAGCTGTTACTATTGCAATGTTATAAAGGCCATGCACATGAGTCCTTAAGATCTCCCACAGTTTGAACCAGTCATCCCTACTAAACATAAAATGGATGCAGTTCATGGAACCTTGGTCACAGAAACAGAAAGTTAGATTTGCTTCTCAACTGGATTTTGCCTGAATAACCCAGAAAATCAGCAGTCTCCCCTGAAAACCAAAATATCCCTAAGTCTTCAGATACCTTATCATTGGGGTTTCTCCACAGGGCTTTGGCTTTCCACAGGGGTTTTTAGGTTTTTGTACCTTGGGCTGTTGTTAAAGGCAACTGGACCTGACGTCATCTTTTCATACTGTATTTTCATCCTGGGCATTAGTTGCGCACTGGAAAAGGAAGGCCAGTTATGGAGCAATGTTCAGCCTTGCTGCAGGAACACAGGGGGCTCTAGGTTGAGGCTAAAGACAGACTTTCCCATGTGATGTATGCATGGAATCAAGTGCTAGTTTTTCTCAGAAGCAAATCCAAGCCTGCTGTACAAGGCCTTGGGCAAACCACACCTCACACATCCTGGGGCAAGGTGGAAACAACTGCAGTCCTAGGTCTGAAGGCACAAAAAACAGCAGATTGAGGCATACGGAATTTCCAACATTGTATTTTTTATGACAAAAATGACAATTTTGTACTTCTTAAATAACCTCATTCTGGGATAAGATATTCATAATGCTGATAAGGTTCCTGAGTCCAAGATTCTTCTAGGTTTAGGGCAATTGAGGCATGGCCCCAGTTTTCTATACTGAGCCAGGGAAAGAAAGCCTCTCTTAGAAGTGCAACCATTTTCTAGAAATTTTCCCACCTCTGTCTTGCAGTTGCCAAATATCATAGCATGTTAGAATTGGAGGGAGTCTGGTGAAAATGTGCAGTGTCTGTCTTCAGAAAGCCAGGCCCTTCAAGAAGGCACTTGCCTGCTCTCTTGGGCTACACTGGCATGTGATCATTTGCCCTCCAATCTCAAGATGGATTGTTCATTGTTGACTTTATCATCTGGAGAATTGTACACATGACACATACTCCCTACATGGGTAAATAATAATAATCTGACTCCTTAGGTAAGAGCACTCAGGACTTCAGTCCTCAAAGCAAAATCCTAGAAGGGTATTTCTTTGCCTGTTTTGCTGAGCTCCTTAACTGAAAAGGCCCATTCTATGGGGGAAAAACACATTGATGATATAATTTTAAACAACAAAAAAGGGAGAGCAGAAACCTTATGTTCACTAGGATGACAAATATGCTGAGAAACATTGGAAGTTAATATGCAGAAATAGAAAAGGCTTTATGAAGATACTGGATTATTTTCTCTATTCAGAATTTCCTACCTGTTATGTCACTGTTCGAATTGGATTCTTTTCTCATGAAGAGGCATACACTGAGCTCACTCTAGCAGGGGCAGCATGTTGCCTGTTTTCTCATTTGGCATTAGGATTTCTGGGAAATGTCCATCATCACTGCAGTAGTGAATTCAGACAAGCTCAGAAGGAGCTCTGTGCCCTTGCTGGAGAACATGAGGGACTTTGAAAAGCATGTGATGGAAAGAAAATGTCTGTTGTAATGGCAAAGACACTGTGCTTGAGAGTCACTCAGGACTGAATTTCCATTTTTGTTCTGCCCCTTTGAGACCTTAGACAAGTTCCTCAAATTCCTTGATATTCAGTTTATACCCCTGTAAAATGCAGACAATAATGGGGCCCCTTAGATTGGCTTTTTGTGCCTGTAAAGTTCTTAATGAACCATCAATCCTGGAGAATTGTTAGCGAATGAAACTCATCCAGCAGTGTGCACACTGTCATTGATTGCATCTTTTCTTTTGTTTCCAACAGCTGGGACATTTTTCTGATGATCATTGCTGGCATGAAGCTGTTGCGGACATCATTCTGCAACCCGGTTTACCAGTTTATTAACTTGAGCTTCACTGTCATCTTTTTCCACTTTGACTACAAAGATATTTCAGAGAGCTTCTTACTGGATTTCTTCATGGTGTCCATTTTATTTAGCAAGGCAAGTGAATTAGCTATTTTCTTCATTTTAACATTTTAAAGGGGGCTGTTCTTATCAAATGTTTTAAGAGTTTAAAACTTATTCTTTATAAAAAAAATTATGGGAGGATATGAAATTGAATTATACATGTATGTTAAACTCTTGCTACCATTTGGGGAAAACTGCCCATGGAATGTAAGTATGCCATGTTATTTGCTAAAAATCACTAATTAAAATGAATTAGCCATTAGTGTGACTTGAAATTTTATTACCTTCTTCTCTGTTAACAATCTCATTGTAAGATTTCCCTAGATCTTAAAATGCTATGAATTAAAGATTAGCAACCAAGTTCACTGGTCTCTCCCTCCCTCCCTCCGTCTCTCCCTCCCTGTCTCCCTCCCTTCTTACCTTCCTTCCTGCCTTCCTGCCTCCCTCCCTGCCTGCCTTCCCGCCTCTCTGCCTTCCTGCTTTCCTTTTTTCTTCTGTTTTCTTTTCTTTTTCCTCTTGAGATAAATTTAAGGAACTGGTACCCAAGAGCAGGGTCTCTTGGAGTATTTCCAATACGCTTAGTTTGTCTGAAGTCAAGATTTCATCTGTTGAGCAACTTCATACATGGGCAATGAGAAATCCTACTTATAATTCAGGCAAATATATGGGGCTCGTATCTAATGTTTAATTAATGGGAGAGAAATAAAATCCTCTGGATACTTGGGAGTTCTCCATGACCATATCTAGCCTGATCACTGTAATGAAACCTACGTTTGTAAGCAGAAATAGAAAGAAATTTGGAACAACTCTTGGTAAATAAACTCAGTGATGATACAACCTCTTCCACGTGGTGTTCACACTCACACCGGCAGTTGAATACAGCAGCCACGGGGTTTCTTCTGGAGACTGACTTCAGCAACACCTTTCCCCTTTTAGTTAATAATTTTTTTAATTGTAAGTCTTTCTAAATTTTAAATTTTTAAAATTTTTTCACCTCTTAATCAGTTCTGTTCATCTTTATTTCTATTACTTACCTCTTCCTTCTACTGCCTTTCTCTTGGATTCTCTTAGGTAACAAAAATAAAAAACTCTTGTATCGTACTAAAGAGGCCTCATAAGTAATTCCCACCACCCCACCATTGCACGTGAATTTCTTTGTTTTTTATTTTAGAGAAAGAGTCTCACTCCTTCACAAACACAATGCCACTCACAGGCTGGAGTGCAGTGGCATAATTATTGCTCACTGCAGCCTCCAACTCCTGGGCTCAAGTGATCCTCCTGCCCCATCCTCCTGAGTAATTAGGACCACAGGCATGCACCACCACGCCTGGCTAATTGTTTTAAAAACTTTTTGTAAAGATAGGGTCTTGCTATGTTGCCTAAGCTTGTCTCCAACCCCTGGCCTCAAGTGATTCTCCTACCTTGGCCTCCCAAAGTGTTGGGATTACAAGCATGAGCCACTGCACCTGGCCCCAATTTCCTCTTATAACTCCAATTGGGCACTAATTTTCAGTGACCTACGTCCCTCTTGTGTCATCTTCCATTGGTTTCTCACCATTACTTCTGCAGCCTGCCCCAATTTCTGTATTTTATTGTAGACCCTGGCCTTGGTCAAACATTTATTTCCTGTTTGCTGAGTTCTGTTCTGTTCTGATTAACTTATCCCATTTTTCTACTGTTCAAATCACAGGCTTCCATAAGCTATTTTCCTTCATTAACTATCAATTTCTGTCATCTCACATAATAAATGTAACATTATATCCTATAATCTTTAAACTATTTGTGAAGTTACTAGAAATTACTTCACTGCTTGCAGGGATAAGAGTTTATCATCAGATGTAAAATGTGGCCTGGCACAGTGGCTCACGCCTGTAATCCTAGCACTTTGGGAGGCTGAGATGGGCAGATTGCTTGAGATCAGGATTTCGAGAGCAGGATGGGCAACATGGCGAAACCCAGTCTCTACAAAAAGTACAAAAATTAGCCAAGAGTAGTGGCATGCCCCTGTAGCCTCAGCTACTCAGGAGGCTGAGGCAGGGGAATTGCTCGAACCCAGGAGGTGGAGGTTGCAGTGAGCCGAGATTGCGCCACTGCACTCCAGCCTGGGTAACAGGAATGAAACCCTGTCTCAAAAAAAAAAAAAAAAAAAAAAAGATGTAAAATGTGCCAGAGGAGTTCAATCCTGACTCAGGCATTATTTACATTTTGACATGATGATGTTTATATTCCTTTCTGAGCCTCAGTTTCCTGTAAAATGGAAAATAATAATGGCAAGTCATTTAAGAGGATTTGTCAATATAACTGAAAAAAGTTAAGTAGAACATACTCTCCAATAGAAGGTCGTGTTTTTAAAGCTGTATGTAAGTAGAAAAAGGAAGTGACACACTGTGTTTGTGAAGGAATGTGGCCACTTTTCCACACTGAACTGTCAGTTTCATATCACCTTGTATTAGTGACTGGCCCCAGGTGAACAGAAGAGGAGTGAGGTTTCTTTCTGTAAGAGTCCTAGGCGTGGCTTCTAAATAATTCCATACCTGTAGTAAGAAGAGTGGCTTTCATTTATGGGAGCACAGGCCGCCTTTCCTCATCCTGACAGCATTCTGCACTGACAGCAGTCCACTGACAAAAATATGTGGCTCGAAGTGGGCATCTCACCAAAGGGGCTTTCAAGGGACAAAGAAAGGGAGTAAGCATGGCTGTCAGTCGTCCTTCTAGTCGGTGCAGACACTCAGCGACATCCTGTGTAGAATGGGGAGGATGGAACCTGACAAGGACGTGATCTAGGCTAGGTGCGGTGTCTCACGCCTGTAATCCCAGTACTTTGGGATGCCGAGGAGGGTAGATTACCTGAAGTCAGGAGGGTGGATTACCCGAGGTCAGGAGTTCGAGACCAGCCTGACCAACATGGTGAAACCTCATCTCTACTGAAAATACAAAAAAATTTAGCCGGGCGTGGTGGCGGGTGCCTGTAATCCCAGCTAGTCAGGAGGCTGATGCAGGAGAATCGCTTGAACCTGGGAGGAAGAGGTTGCAGTGAGCTGAAATCCCACCACTGCACTCCAGCCTGGGCAACAGAGTGAGACTCCATCTCAAAAAAAAAAAAGATCTAAAACGAAATCCACAAAAGCTTAGTTGTGCAGGCATTTGACTCACTTTGCCATCATCTTTTTGAAGCACCAATTAAAATATGAATAATTTCAGATAGAACCAGAGTGGCAGCTTTCTTATTTTCTCTAATTGAGGGAGCATTAGCACATATTATTTGAATAATCCACTCTTAGGCTGGGATAATGGCTAAGTGTCAAAAAAAAAGAAAAATTAGTGAGACAAAAGCAAGGAAAGTAGGCAGCAAGTCGGAAAGTTGGGGATTCTGAATCCTGGCCCATCTTGCCTCCCGCTAATGCTGGATCACTCTTTATCTTCAGAGAGCTGATGACAATGAGTTTTCTGGAATGAGAAGCAAGATCTTATTCTCTGATGAAAAAGAATATAGTGAAAGAAAGAGAGTGTTTGTGATTTTCCTGGAAAAAAGCCAGTGGATATTAGTGACAGAAGATGATTATATCAAGAAGTTCACAGTTAAGGTCCCCTGTAAAGATTCTGCCTGAAAGTCCTAATTGATAGCTCCTTTTCATTCTGCTCATTTTAATATTTTTTTTCAAAAAAAAAAGTCTCTTTGAATGTATTTCCTAGGGGCTTTCTAGAAGGCCCCATTGTTGTGCTTACAGGTAGTACGGCTCTCTGGGACAATTCCTTGCACAATGTGAAATGTTACTTGTCCACTAGACTCATGGAAGTCTTGCTCATGACAGGTCTTGTCCTCTGACCACTGCAGATGTCCCCCAGCCCTTCCCTCAGCCTTGCTCCTGTTTCACTAAATAGAGAATTATTGTTAGCCTGGCAGCCCCCCTCACAGAAGGGCTCTGAGGTTAATGAAGCAAGATTTGGATGGGCACTCAGTTTCCTCGGAAGAAAGGAGCTGCCCAAATATAGGACACAGTATTATTTTAAGTTGGTTGCCTCTAATCCTTTGGGCTTTATGGGTAGAAACAGAGGAGAGAAGTGATTAGTGAGAGAGTGAGATCAAAGCGCCAGGAGGCCAAGGAAGGAAACAGACAGCTTCCAGAGGGCCCAGGCCCTGCCCTCATGATATTCTCTACCTCCCTAAGCCCCCAAATCCCCCACTCCCCCTGAGGTCTGGAGGATGAATATTGCCTACTCTCTTAAGTCTGCCAGATCTGGAATAAAAAAAAAAGGGGGGGGTGCCGGGCACAGTGGCACACACCTGTAATCCCAGAACTTTGGGAGGCCGAGGCAAGCGGATCATGAGGTCAGGAGATTGAGACCATCCTGGCTAACATGGTGAAACCCCGTCTCTACTAAAAATACAAAAATTAGCCGGGCACAGTGGCGGGCACCTGTACTCCCAGCTACTCAGGAGGCTGAGGCAGGAGAATGGCGGGAACCCAGGAGGTGGAGCTTGCAGTGAGCCGAGATTGCGCCACTGCACTCCAGCCTGGGCAACAAGGCAAGACTCCATCACACACACACACACACACACACACACACACACACACACAAAAGTTGGGGGGCAGAAATATTGAGTTCCAAGGCTGGAACCCACCAGACAAATTAAGTGCAGCCGTGTATCGAGACGGTGGGTGAGACACTTCCTAGTGAATGGCAGCCTGGCTTTGCATGTGTGTGGATACGTGGGTGTGTTTGTGGGTGGGGGGGTTGAGGGGGTAGGAGTGTGTCCGGAATTGGTGGGTTCTTGGTCTCACTGATTTCAAGAATGAAGCTGCAGACCCTCATGGTGAGTGTTACAGTTCTTAAAGGCGGCGTGTCCAGAGTTTGTTCCTTCCGATGTTCGGATGTGTTCGGAGTTTCTTCCTTCTGGTGGGTTCGTGGTCTCGCTGGCTTCAGGAGTGAGGCTGCAGACCTTCATGGTGTTACAGCTCTTAAGGCAGCGTGTCTGGAGTTGTTCATTCCTGCAGGTGGGTTCGTGGTCTGGCTGGCCTCAGGAGTGAAGCTGCAGACCTTCGCAGTGAGTCTTATAGCTCATAAAGGCAGTGTGGACCCGAACAGTGAGCAGCAAAAAGGTTTATTGCAAAGAGTGAAAGAACAAAGCTCTCAGTACCCTGGCAGATTGCCACTGCTGGCTCTGGCAGCCTGCTTTTATTCTTTTATCTGGCCCCACCCACATCCTGCTGATTGGTCCATTTTACAGAGAGCTGATTGGTCTGGTTTATGGAGAGCTGATTGGTCCGTTTGACAGGGTGCTGATTGGTGTGTTTACAATCCCTTAGCTAGACAAAGTTTCTCCAAGTCCCCACCAGATCAGCTAGATACTGAGTGCCCATTGGTGCATCCACAAACTCCGAGCTAGACACAGGGTGCTGATTGGTGTGTTTACAATCCCTTAACTAGACATAAAGGTTCTCCAAGTCCCCACTAGACTCAGGAGCCTAGCTGGCTTCACCCAGTGGATCCCACACTGAGGCCGCAGGTGGAGCTGCCTGCCAGTCCCGCACTGTGAACCCACACTCTTCAGCCCTTGGGCGATTGGTTGATGACACCTGGTGCCGTGGAGCAAGGGGGCAGCGCTCTTCGGGGAGGCTTGGGCTGCCAGGAGCCCACCGCGGCGGGGCGGGGTGGGGGAAGCTTAGGCATGGCGGGCTGCAGGTCAGGAGCCCTGCCCCGTGGGGAGGCAGCTAAGGCCCGGCGAGAAATCGAGGGCAGCACCGGTGGGCTGGCACTGCTGGGGGACCCAGCGCACCCTCTGCAGCTGCTGGCCCGGGTGCTAAGCCCCTCACTGCCCGGGGCCGCTCTGAGTGCGGGGCCCGCCAAGCCCACGCCCATCCGGAACTCTAGCTGGCCCACAAGCGCCACGCACAGCCCAGGTTCCCGCCCACGCCTCTCCCTCCACACCTCCTGGCAAGCTGAGGGAGCCGGCTCTGGCTTCAACCACCCCAGAGAGGGGCCCCCACAGCGCAGTGGCGGGCTGAAGGGCTCCCCAAGCATGGCCAGAGCAGACGCCAAGGCCGAGGAGGCGCCAAGAGTGAGCGAGGGCTGCCAGCACACTGTCACCTCTCAGGAGGGCAGTGAGAAAGAACGGTCTCTGCATGTCCCTTCCTGAGACATGGGACCCTCCTACCACACATCCTTCTTCCTCGCTCCTTCATTTCCTCGATCCCTTCCCTCTCTTTATCTTGCTTCTTCAGTCATTCTTTTAAGAACTTTTGTTATTCATTGGTGACATTTCTGGTTGTCTGGGTCTTTAGGGTACAGTAAAACATGCAGATGAGGATATTTGGTTGCAAGGAATATTGACTGTTACAGGAGCAAAGATGACAAATACTCTTTCATGACCTCGCACTGGCCCTGAAAAAGTTCTTAAAAACCATAGTTGGCCGGGCACAGTGGCTCACGCCTGTAATCCCAGCACTTCGGGAGGCTGAGGTGAGTGGATTACCTGAGGTCAGGAGTTTGAGACCAGCCTGGTCAACATGGTGAAACCTCATCTCTACTGAAAATACAAGAATTAGTTGGGCGTGGTGCCACATGCCTGTAATCCCAGCTACTCCGGAGGCTGAGGCAGGAGAATTGCTTGCACCCCAGAGGCGGAGGTTACAATGAGCCAAGATAATCCCATTGCACTCCAGCCTGGGCGACAGAGCACGACTCTGTCTCAAAAAAAACCAAAACAAAACAAAAAAAAAACATTGTTTTTAAAATCATGGTAACTTTGGGTTGTCACAGGATGTAAAAGCAGAACTTGAGAAAATCCTGCCATAGGATCATTCTGCCAGCATTTCCAGAATACATTAGACATAAAATTCTACAGGCCATTAGTTCAACATGGGACATAACACTTTTGCCACTTAGGAGATGAAAATTAATGTATGAGGTTGTATTTATGATAAAGCTGTATGAATGATCGCACCAGAACCGTGATGTGTGGCTTTGTCATGGACTACCACGCTGGGTGTTCAAGTTATTTGAAATTGAAGTTTCTAAATGGCGTTTTCCTTATTTTGTGAGTACAGATAGAAAGTCTTGGATTAAAATTGAGCCACTTTTTAAAAAAATACATACTTATACAGAAGTACTTGTTCAAAATACTTTGTTCAAAAAAGCAATTGTTCATTCATTGAGCACTTACTGGGTGCCTGCCAGGCACTGGGCTAGGTATTATCCAAAGGTTATTAGTAATACAAATGATACCAAATGTTTGGTACTTTCTGTGGGCCAGGAACTGTTCTGAACACTTTGTGCATAATAACATATGTAATCTTCACAACAGCTTTGTGGGTGGATATGCCTCATTTTAAAGGTGAGAAAACTAGGCACAGAAATTAAGTGAATTGCCAGAAAGTCTCTTAGCTATACAATGGTAGGGCAGGATTCAAAGCCAGGCAGTCTGGCTGTGAGTCTGTATTTTGTGATACTGCCTTCCCTGCTTGGAGAGTTTGGAAAAAGAGGCAGACAAGTAAAGAGATAATTACAAGAAAGGATGATAAGGGAGGTGATAGTGGTAGAGTTTCAGGAGCACAAGTGCCCAGTCTAACCTGAGAGAACCAAATACAGTGCTCACCTTAAGCTTTCAGGAAGAATGAGTAAGTCAGGCAAAGAAGGCAGGGAGGAGTGAGTTACGCAGAGGAAGCTGCATGTGTAAAGGCACAGAAGCAAGAGAGGAGTTGGCACATTCCGGAAACCGTGAGAAATTTGGGAAGTGTGAAAACCTGGAAAGGGGAGTGGATGGTTGGGAAAGTGAGAGATGAACCTGGAGATGTCTATGAGATGGATCTCGAAGGACCCAGCGTGCCGTGCTACAGAGTTTGGACTTCATTCCTATATCAGCTGACGGCTGTTAAGCAGAGGAAAAACAGATCAGAATTGCATTTTGGAAATATCTCTTTGTGGAAGTGAGTAAACGATGAGAAGACATGGAGTCTTGGAACTGAATAGGAAATTATTGCAATCATCCAAGCAACTCATGAGGACTTGAACCGAGGTGGCAGAAGTGAGGGGAAGAAGGGAACAAATTCAGGAGGCGTTTGAGAGAGAATTGATTACGTTTAGTGATCAGATAGATACGGGGGAGAGTGCAGTGCAGGTGAAAGCCACCTCTGGGAGAGCTCTCAGCATACTTCAGTGACTAGATGAAAGGGGGTGTCATTAACTAGATTAGGGAATAATAAAGAAGAGAAAGACGTTTTTGGGAAAAGGATGTTAGCTTTGATGTATTAGATTGTGGAACGAGAGCCATAAAGGTCAAACATAAAAACCTTGAAAAAAGGATTTTTCTCATTTTATAATAATTTTTTAAATTTACTTAAGTAATACCTAAATATATTCTTATCATGATAAAATTAGAAAAGCAATGGAAAATACAAAAAAAGTCTGTTTTAATGCATATCTCTGTCTGCTTAACCCTAACCTCTTCCTATGGATAACTATTGTAAGTATTTTGGAATAAATCCTCCCAGTCCTCTGGTATATTTACACACACACACACACACACAAACACACACACACACCACACAAATTTAAAATATCAATAGGTTCATTCTGTACCTGCCTTTTACCTCCATTTTTGCTTAAAATATGTGTTAGAAGACTTTTCCATGACAGTGCATATCATGTTGCCTCTTCCTTTTGACCCCTGCAGAGAATGCTATAGCATATACCATAATTTGATGAGTTATTTCATTATTAACAGGCACCTAGTTTGTTTCCAAGCTTTTCTGTGGTACTTGGGACTTCTTGGGTCACAAACCACAGAAACCCAAATGAAACTGGCCTAATGACAAAAGATAATTTTTTTTTTTTTTAGACGGAGTCTTGCCCTGTCACCCAGGCTGGAGTGCAGTGGCGTGATCTCAGCTCACTGCAACCTCTGCCTTCCAACTTCCAGCGATTCTCCTGTCTCAGCCTCATGGGTAGCTGGGATTACAGGTGCACGCCACCACACCTGGCTAATTTTTGTATTTTTATTAGAGATGGGGTTTCACCATGTTGGTCAGGCTGGTCTTGAACTCCTGACCTCGGGTGATCTGCCTGCCTCGGCCTCCCAAAGTGCTGGGATTACAGACATGAGCCACTGCGCCCAGCTGACAAAAGAGAATTTAACAGTTTACGTAAGTTACTGAATGACCCAAAGGCATTAATGATGGCATTGAAGATCTGTTTTTATTTCTCCTTCTCCCCCATCTGTTGACTTCATAGTTAGACTGGCTGTCTCTACGTGGTGGTAATTGTGGTCACTAGCAGTTCTACATTTATAGCATTGTTTTAACTAATAATCCTCCCCCAAAAGAGAGAGTATCTTTCTTGATAGTTTCAGCCAAAGTCTTCGGGTGGGGGAGAAGTCTCATTGACGTTTTGTGTCACATGTTCATTCTTGAACCAGGTACAATGGCAGGAGGGATATGGGTTCCCTAGCTGATAAGTCCTGGACTGCCTGCCCACCCCTGGAATTTCAACCAAACCACCAGGACTAGAAGTCAGGGGAAGCAGATGGAAGTGGCTGGTGGCCACTGCATTGGACTACACAGAAGGTCATGTTTAACATACTGGTGCATGTGAGTGTTTTAGAAGCATAGACCGCCGGGATTGGACTTGCTGGGTCAAGAGGATGCTCTTGAAAGGATCTCAATAGAGAATCATTCCAAAACACTATTGCTACTAACAAGGATGACCAGCATTTAAGAAGCAGGTAGAGGAAGGAAGATGTAACAAAATATTGAGAAGTGACCCGTGAAACAAAATTAAGTACGGTATAATAGAAAGCAAGAAAGAAAACAGTTTTAAGAAAGAAGGAATAGTTCAGCAATGCCAGAGCCTTCAGAGATCAAAGCTCAACACTGAAACACTGAAATGCCACTACTAGATTTAGCAACAGAGAAGCCACTGGTGAGGTTGACACCATGGTGGTCCTGAAACAGAGTGAGTTCTTCAAGGTCAGGTACTCTGTTCTTCCTTCTTTGTATCCTCTGTGCTTTCTTTAGTGCCCTTAGTAGGGTGAGCTCTCAATACCTATTTGTAAATGACCAAGTATATTCATTGATCACAGATCAGTGTATTTAAATGTGGGTATTTGGGAGAATTCAGTGAGGCTGTCTTTCAGGGAAAACTCTACAATCACAACCACTTTAGGGCTGTTGATTCTTTATTGGTCCAGAAGAGGTGAATGGTGTTAAATATGATGTATTTATTACCTGTGAAGGATTTAGTCTACTGCCCTTGCAGGAATAAACATGCTAAATATGTGTGATGCAAAGACTAGCCTGCAATGTGCACTTAATGATGTAATGATGCCATCTCTACATTTAAAATGCAAGCGTTGACACTTTTAGTACAAGAATTGAGTCCTTAGGCATTCCCAACCAGGAAAACCATGAACAACAAATGTTATTTCCTCTGGTGCCATTAATCTTAGTGTGTTTCCCTCTGCTTCCTCCAAGTTTCTGGATGGTAACATCTGCATCCACCTGCTTCACAGGGTCAGTATGTGGACTGACTAATTCTCATTATCCTGAAATAAGGTGGTGGTCATAGCATCCCTACATTATCTTTTTGGTGAGATAGTTTTGACTCATGCTCCATTTTCAGTTTATTTTTAGCTCACTTTCCCTCACTGCGCTGAAGAATGGACTTGTCAGATTTATTGATCTTTTTCGTAATTCTGGAATTGTCAGTAAGGTCATTTCACAGTTTGCTGTCTGCTGGATAAGACTAACCCCCATAATAACATCAATTCATAAGGCCTAGTGTTCTTCATACCCTACGGCATCCCATCCGTAAGAAAGTACATCTGCTCTGATAAAACTTAAATTGTCTACAGCTTTCTATGGAAAATTTGTCTGGATTACATACCAGCCGCTTGGTTGTCATTTGAAAGTATAGATGATAAAGAAATAATGAGACAGAAAACGAGAATGAGAATGAGGAGAAGAAGGACCAGTGCAGTAGAAACTTTATATTCAACTAAATCTGGCAGGTGGTTGGTTGGTTAATTGAAAAAAATTAAGCAAGAAATAATAAATGATACCTCTATATACTTGTCTTTATTATAATAACTTAAAAACTTACACATTAACTTCCATTACCAGTATTCTGATGGAGGGCAAGGACTTCTCTTTGAGTGGGAATCTACAGAATGACTATATGGTCTTTTTCAGTGAACTATGCCCATGATACATTTTCTAGGGTGTTCAGTTTCCATTTCTGTTTTTTATTCTACTTGAATTGAGACAATGAAGGTTCCTTGTGAAACAGTCTGAAAGTAGTCCACATTTTCTTTCTTCCCAAATCTCTTCTCATTCATATCTAGGTCCACAACAATGTCTTTAGAGACTTGCCTTCATCAAGTCATTAACTTAAGCATTCCACTTGGTTGTGATAGACACAACTGTCTTTCATTTGCATTCGTATTACAAGAAGATTTTTTTTTTTTTTGAGACAGAGTCTTGCTCTTGTCGCCCAGGCTGGAGTGCAATGGCACAATCTTGGCTCACTGCAACATCCGCCTCCTGGGTTCAAGTGATTCTCCTGCCTCAGCCTCCCGAGTAGTTGGGATTACAGGCACCCACCACCATGCCTGGCTAATTTTTGTATTTTTTTAGTAGAGATGGGGTTTCACCATGTTGGCCAGGCTAGTCTTGAACTCCTGACCTCGTGATCCGCCCACCTCGGCCTCCCAAAGTGCTGGGATTACAGGTGTGAGCCACCGCGCCCGGCCAGATGTTTTTTAAAAGATGTATTTTGGAATAATTCTAGATTTACAGAAAAGACATGAAGATAGTATAGAGAATTCCCATATACCCCACACCCTATTTCCCTGTTACTTATATCTTATATTTGTATGGTACATTTGTCATAATTAATGAGCCCAAATAGTGTGTTACTATTAAAGTTCATACTTTATTCAGACATCCTGAGTTTGGTCTAACGTCCTTTCTCTGATGGAGGATCCCATTCAGAATACATTGAGTTATCCTGTTTCCTTAGGCTCCTCTTGGCTGTGATAGTTTCTGATGTTTTCCATGTTTGTGATGACTTGACAGTTTTGAGGAGTACTGATCAGGTATTTTATAGACTGTCCCTCAACTGGGATTTGTCTGATGCTTTCCTCGTATTTATATTAGGGTTATGTGTTTTGGGGAGGAAGACCATGTAGGTCAAGTATCATTCTCATCACATTATATCAAAGATTTATGGCCAGGCACAGTGGTGCATGCCTGTAATCCCAGCACTTTGGGAGGCTGAGGTGGGTGGATCACCTGAGGTCAGGAGTTCAAGACCGGTCTGACCAACATGGTGGAACCCCGTCTCTACTAAATACAAAAAATTAGCCAGGCATGGTGGCGGCCACCTGTAATCCCAGCTACTTGGGAGGCTGAGGCAGGAGGATTGCTTGAAGCCAGGAAGGAGAGGTTGCAGTGAGCCAAGATCATGCCATTGCACTCCAGCCTGGGCAACAAGAGTGAAACTACATCTCAAAAAAAAAAAAAGATATATAATATTAACATGAATCATCATATTACCATTAATGTTAAGCATGATTAACTGGCTTAAGTATCATAAGGTTTTTCCACTGCAATGTTACCCTTTTGTCCTCCTTTCCATCCTATATTCTTTGGAAGAAAGCCACTATGCACAGCCCACATTGAAGGAATGGGAAGTTATGTTTCACTTCCTTTGGGGGAAAGTATCAAAATTATTTGAATTCTTCTGCATGGGAGATTTGTCTCTTTATTCATTCATTCATATCAGTATGGGCTCAGATATTTATTTTATACTTAGGTTATAATCTATTATTTATTTATCTTGTTTCCTCGATTTTTTCAACTTTGGCTACTTGGAGCTCTCCAGTTGGCAGCTTCTGTGATATAATCCCATGTCTCTCTGTCTCTCTCTCTCTCTCTCCCTCTGTGTGTGTGTGTGTGTGTGTGTGTGTGTGTGTGTACTTTCTAACTTTCTGTCACTACAGGATGATCTAGGCTCATCCTCACATACTTCCTGAATCAGTCCTAGAATAAGCCATTTCTCCAGGAAACCCTGTTCTATTTTATTGGAAAACAGTTTGATCTGGGTACTAGATGTACTTATTGATACTGGGGTGTCATTGCATCTAGGCATTCTCAGCTGAAAGAGCAAGGAAATATATGTGTGTATATCATCTGTATATACACATATCTAGAAATATGTCTGTATGTCTGTAACTACCTGTATCGGCATTAAACTAAACTTGAGTTCAAATTAATGTTTTCAAATCTAATCTATTACTACATGGATCATTCTAGCCTTTTCCCCTTGTTTGCTGTAACTTTCCATTCCAATAGTGAGAAACTTAGCTTCTACCATCTGTCATCCATTTAGTTAACTGTTCAATTCCAATTCGCATGTACAGTCACCCGTTAGTATCTGTGGGGGACTGGTTCTAGAACCTTCTACTCCATAGAATTGCCTTTCTTTTATGCCCTTAACAACAACTAGTTGACCATATTTGTATGGGTCTTTTTCTTGAGCTGTTTTGTTCAATTAATATATGTGTCTATTTTGCTAATACCATGTTGTCTTGATAACTATCATTTTATAGTGAGCTTTGAAATAGTGTGATTTTTCCAACTTTGTTTTCTTCTTCAGTATTGTGTTGGCTATTTCATTTTTGTTTACTGTTGTTGTTTTGCCTTTCATACAAATTTCAGAATCAGTTCTCTAGATCTGCAAAATATCTTGTTAGGATTTTGAATGGGTTTATGCTGGATCTGTAGATCAAGTTGTAAAGAATCAACATTTTAACAATATTCGATCTTCCGGTCTATGAACATGAAATATTATTCCATTTATTTAGATAGTCTTTGGTTTCTTTCATCAGATTTCTATAGGTTTTTGCATATAGATACTGTACATATTTTATTATATTGATACACACATATTTTGTCTTATTTGGTGCTATCGTGGAGGGTGTATTTTTTTTTTTTAATTTTAAACTCCAATTGTTCCTTGCTGGCATATGAGAAAGCAATTGACTTTTGTTTATTGACTTCATATAGGGCAGCCTTGCTATGCTGACTTATTAGTTCCTGGACTGTTTGTTCTGAATCTTTATGTTTAGAGTAGTTTCTTTGTATCAAACTTATAGTTAGTAGTTGGTTCTTTTTTAAAAAAAATTGTTTTTGTTGTTGTTTCTTTTATTTTTTAATCTACTCTAACACTTTGTTTCTTAATTTGTGTATCTAGACCATTCACATTTAAATTGATTGTTGATAAAGTTAAATTAATGTCTATCATGTTTGTAACTATAATTTTGATGTTTCAAGAATGTTACATAAGTGGAATCATACAATATATAACTTTTGGGGATTGTCTTTTTCACTCACTTTTCTAAGACTTTTTCACACAATATTATTCATCCAGGTTGTTGTGGAGATCGATAATTCATTACTTTTCATGGGTAGGTACTTTTACTTTTGCCGTAGGTAGTTCCATGCTAAATTTTTATGGAAAATGCCAGAGTGGCTATACCATTTAATATTTCCACCAGGAATACATGAGTGATTCATTTTCTCTGCATCCTTGTCAGCATTTTCTATTCCCACTATTGTTTTATTTTAACCACTCTGGTGGATGTGTAATGATATCTCATTGTGGTTTTAATTTACATTTTCATAAAGGTTAGTGATGTGGAATATTGTTTAGGTGCTTAGTCTCCATTTGTATATATTCTTTGGTAAACTGGCTTCATACAGTTTTTGTATGGTCTAGATTGGATTGTTTGGGTTTTTACTGTTTAATTTTGAGAATTCTTTATATACTCTATACTCTTTTTTTTTCTTTTTTCTTTTTATTTCTTTTTTTTTTTTTTTTTTTTGAAATGGAGTCTCACTGTCACCCAGGCTGGAGTGCAGTGGTGTGATCTCGGCTCACTGCAACCTCTGCCTCCCGGGTTCAAGAGATTCTCTTGCCTCAGCCTCCTGAGTAGCTGGGACTACAGGCGCGTGCAACCACGCCTGGCTAATTTTTGTATTTTTAGTAGAGACAGCATTTCACCATGTTGGCCAGGCTGGTCTCGAACTCCTGACCTCAGGTGATCCACCCGCCTCGGCCTCCCAAAGTGCTGGGATTACAGGCATTAGCCACCGCGCCCAGCCCTGTGTACTCTAGATTTGATTCCCTTGTTGGATATGTCATCTGCAAATACTTTCTCCCACTCTGTAGCTTGTTTTTTCCTTCTCTTAATAGGGTCTTTCGTAGTACAAAAAGTTTTAATTTTAGTGAAGTCTAATTTATCAATAATTTCTTTTATTGATCATAATTTTGTGTGAAGTGCAAAAAACTCTTTGCCTGGTTCTAGACCCCAAGATTTTCTCCTGTTTTTTGTTTGTTTGTTTCCTAAGCCATTTTTTCGTTTTTTTGTTTTGTTTTGTTTTTGTTTTTGTTTTTTTTTTTTTGAGACAAGGTCTCGTTCTGTCACCCAGGCTGGAGTGCAGTGGCGGGATCTCTGTTCACTACAAGCTCTGCCTCCTGGGTTCACAGCATTCTCCTTCCTCAGCCTCCCGAGTAGCTGGGACTACAGGCGCCCACCACCACGCCCGGCAATTTTTTTTTTTTTTTTTTTTTTTTTTTTTTTTTGTATTTTTAGTAGAGACGGGGTTTCACCATGTTAGCCAGGATGGTCTTAATCTCCTGACCTCATGATCCGCCCACCTCGCCCTCCCAAAGTGCTGTGATTACAGGCATGAGCCACCGTGCCTGGCCTTTTTTTCCTAAAAGTTTTATACTTTTCGTTTTATACTTAAGTCTGTGATCTTTATTGAGCTAATATGAATTACGAGACTTAGGTAAAGGGTTATTTGTTTTGCTTTTGTTTTTAATTTTTTTGCCTATTTATATCTAATTATTCCAGCACCATTTGTTGAAATGACTGTCTTTCCTTCCTCGAATTGCTTTTGCACCTTGGTCAAAATCAGTTGCTCATGTTTGTGTGAGTATATTTCTGAGTGCTATATTTTATTCTATTGACCCATCTGTTTATCCCTTCACCAATACCAAGAAGTCTTGATTACTTTAGTTGTACTGAAAGAGTTGAAATTGGGTAGATGGATTCTTCCCACTTTATTTTTTCCCAAAATTGTTTTGCTATTCTAGTTAACTTTGCATTTCCTATAAATTTTAGGTTAATTTTTATTGCATCTGTAAAAAAACATACTTGCTGAGATTTTAATAGGAATTGTAAGCTTCTATATCAGTTTAGAGAGAATTGACATCTTTTCTATGTTGTCTTCCAATCTGTAACTACAGTAGCCATTTATTTATCTTTTGATTTCTTTCATTAGAGTTTTTTTAACTTTTAGCTTATAAATTCTGCACAAGTTTTGTTAGATTTACAATTTATGTGATCCTTTTTTTGAGTGACTATGAATTGAATTGTATGTTTAATTTCAGAATGTATGGTTTTATTGCTAGCATATAGAGATACAATAGATTTTTGTAAGCCTGAATTTACTTACCAGTTTTGGGAGGGTTTTTTTTTTTTTTTTTTTTGTAGGTGCCTTGAGATTTTCTATGTAGGTAACCATGCTATCTGTAGGTAAGGATCATTTTATTTCTTCCTTTCTGATCTGCTTACATTTTACTTCCTTTGCCAGTCTTATTGCACTAGCTAACACCTCCAGCACTATGTCAGATAAGAGTGGTGAGAGTAGATCCCTACCTTCTTCCAGACATTAGAAAGAAGGCATACAACTTTCACCAGTAAGTATGAGTAAGTTGTAGTTTTTTGTAGGTCTTTATCTAGTAGAGAAAGTTCCCCTTCTATTCCTATTTTTCTAAGCATTTTTACATAATGAAAGTTCCATTTTGTCAAATGCTTTTCCTATATTGGGTGATGTAATTCTGTGATTTTTATTCTTTAGCCTGTTAATAAGTGGATTACATTGATTGATTTTTGAAAATTAAACCAACCTTGCATCCCTGAAACAAAACCCATTTGGTTATGGTCTATAATTATTCTTTTTTTTTTTTTTGAGACGGAGTCTCGCTCTGTCGCCCAGGCTGGAGTGCAGTGGCGGGATCTCGGCTCACTGCAAGCTCCGCCTCCCGGGTTCACGCCATTCTCCTGCCTCAGCCTCCCAAGTAGCTGGGACTACAGGCGCCCGCCACTACGCCCGGCTAATTTTTTGTATTTTTAGTAGAGACGGGGTTTCACCGTTTTAGCCGGGATGGTCTCGATCTCCTGACCTCGTGATCCGCCCGCCTCGGCCTCCCAAAGTGCTGGGATTACAGGCGTGAGCCACCGCGCCTGGCCTATAATTCTTCTTAATTGTTTATGAATGCTATTTGTTAATATCTTGTTAAGAATTTTGGTCTATATCATGAGAGATATTGACCTATATTTTTGTGTATGGGGGTTGTGGTCTTTTTTTTTTTTTTCTTTAGACGGAGTCTCACTCTGTCGCCCAGGCTGTAGTCCAGTGGCGCGATCTCGGCTCATTGCAAGCTCCGCCTCCCGGGTTCACGCCTTTCTCCTGCCTCAGCCTCCCGAATACGGCTAATTTTTTGTATTTTTAGTACAGACAGGGTTTCACTGTGTTAGCCAGGATGGTCTAGATCTCCTGACCTGGTGATCTGCCTGCCTCGGCCTCCCAAAGTGCTGGGATTACAGGCGTGAGCAACCGCGCCAGGCCGGGGGTTGTGGTCTTTTGTGTGTATTGTCTTTGTCTGGTTTTGCTATTAGGGTAATACTAGCTTCAAAAAATGAATTGTAGTATCCCTTCCTCTCCTATTTTCTGGAGAGATTTTGTGGAATTGGCATTAATTCTTTAAACCTTTGTTAGAATTCTCCAGTTAAGCCATCTGGTCTGGAGAACATTTTGAGGGAGTTTTTAAATTTATAAGTTAAATTTCCATAATAGTTGTAGGGATATTTAAATTACCTATTTCATATTGGGTTTTCTGATAGCTGTGTTTTGGAAATGATCTGTTTCTTCTAAATTGACAAATTTACTATTGTTCTGTTGTACTATGTGTTGTTGTTCATAGTATTCCCTTATTGCCCTTTCTACATACGCAGTTTCCTTAGTGATACCTCCTGCTTCACTCCTGATATTATTAATTTGTGTTTTTCTTTGTCAGTCTTTCTAGAGATTTCTTAATTTTATTTATCTTTTCAAAGAGCTCTTTGTTACATTGATTTTCTTTATTTTTGTCTTATTTGTAATTTCATAGATTTCTGCTTTTATCTTTATTATTTTCTTTCTTCTCTTGGGATTTATTTTGCTCTTCTTTTTGGGGGGGCTCTTGAGGTGGGATGTTGTTATCAATTTGAGACTTTTCCTCTTTTCTAATGTATGCATTTAGTGCTATAAATTTCCTTCTGTGCACTGCTTTAGCTGTGCTCCACAAATTTTGAAGTGTTATACATTCATTTTCATTCAATTCAATGTATTTTTCTTATTCCCCTTAAGACTTCCTCTTTGATCCATGGATTATTTAGAAGTATGTCATTTTCCAAGGGTTTGGATATTTTTGTGTTATCTTTCTATTATTCATTTCTAGGTTGATTTCTTTATGGTCAGAGTACACTGTATGATTTCATTTCTTTTCATTTTGTTGAGTTTTTTGTTTGTTTGTTTTAATGTCTGTGTGTTTGTGTGTGTGTAGCCTAGAATATGGTCTATCTTTGTATCTGTCCATGGACACTTAAAAAGACTGTGCGTTCTCCTGTTCTTGGATAGAGTATTCAATAAAAGTTGATCATATCTTGTTGCATTATAATGTTGTTGAGTTCTGCTATATTGTTATTTTTTCTGTCTAATCATTCTGTCAATTGTTGAGAGTGGTGTGTTGAAGTTTCCAATCATAATTGTGATTTGTCTGTTTTTTCTTTCAGTTCTATCAGTTCCTGCTTCACATATTTTGCATTTCTATTGTTTGTTATATATACATTTAGAATTGTTAGATCTTGGTGGATTGATGCTTTTATCATTATATAATGTCTTTTCTGGTAATTTCTTTGCTTTCTCTGAGGTTTATTTGATAATGATATCACTGCTCCTGTTTTTGGTTGATATTTGCATAATACACATTTTCTCATACTTTTACTTTCAAACTGTTCATATCATTACATAGACAGCATATAGTTGAGTTATGGTTGTTATTCCATTCTGCCAATATTTGTCTTTAGTATATTTAGACCATTTCATTTAATGTAATCATTGATATGGTAGTGTTTATGTTTGTCTTTTTTGTTGTTATAGTTTTCAGTTTGTTTTTTCTCTATCTTCTTTCTTTTTGCCATGGATTATTTGAACTACATTTTCCACTAGAACTCTCATACATCTCCTGTATGATAATTCCAACATCTATGTTATATATGACTCTGATTCTGAGGCTTGCTGGCCCTTTAGTTCTCTAAACTACATTTTTTCCTGCCTTTTGCTATGCCCTTAATCTATTGTTCAAAGTTGAACCTGTTGTATCAGGTGACAGGAACTGAGGTAAGAAAGCATTTAATTTGAGAATTTATGTTACTCTAAGAGTTAGGCCATGTTTAACGTTGCTTTAGCCTTTAGCTGTGGGTCTCAGAGGCTTTAGATTTTTCTAGTGTCCTTGTTTTTGTCTCATCTTGACTTTCGGTTTCCCTTAAAGCTTCTCTTCGGAAACGGTTTATGTCTTGTAGCGCTATTATCTGGGATCTAGTGTTATTATATTGAGTTCCTGTTGGTGTGCTGGTAAGGTGTGGGGTAGGGGGAGCATTCTATTATCTTCCAATTAAATCTGTTTTTAATTGGGCCTGTGTCTCCGGGCTGTAACCTTCACAAATGTTTCCAAAGTGGTAAACTTTTTTTTTTTAATGCCCTCGACTTCCTTCCCTGGTTGTAGTAGTCTCAATCTATTTCCCTGAAGCCCTGACACCCAATGACTATGTTTCTTCCTCCCTTCCTCTTTCCAGTGAGATAAACTGGAGTAAACTGGTAGGGAAGGAAGTTCTTTCTCCCACGTGGGATCGGCTCCTGTGCAGTGCTGTGCTCTGGAGGATAAGCCTGTGTGTTTTGCATTGTTTAATCTTCCCCACCTTCTACCAGAGCCGTGAGGGGATGTTTCTTGATCTTCACCATGAGAACCTAGTGGGGTTTCTGGAAGTAAAACCCCTGAAAGTGTAGGCCCTTCCCTAAGACCGTGGTGCCTGTGAGTTTCTTAATCTCATGGTAGGCCACCCTCAGCCTGTATAACTTCATGAAAATTATCATTTAAATGTTCCTAGGAGTTTATGGCCACAGCACCTTTTGCCCCACAGAAGCTAATCTGCATTGTGACTTTCTGGATGCGCCTGTCGCTCCGTAGTCCAGAGTTTTCTGTGACCGCTGCAATATCAGTGATCTGATGGGTTGAGACGAGCCATCAGTTTTCTGTTTATCCAGCTTCTTCTTCTTGTAAAAATAACTTCCAAGCTTTTTACATGCCACAGCAGAAACCAAACGTCTCTGAAGTCTTTCTTTCAAATCACAAGCCATATTTTGTACCTTCTCTGCCCAAAACCCTGTAATGACTCACCACTTCATACAGAGTAAAAGGCAAACCCATGACACTGGCCCAGCACCAACTGGTCTCCGTTCTTGCTCTGACCTCCTCTTCTGTTCTTCCTCATGCCCAACCCAGGTAGACTTGCAGTTCCTCCACTATGCCAGATGTGCTGCCACTGGAGACTCCACGCTCTGTTTCCTTTGTCTTTAAATGTTCCTCCCTTGATATCCACTGGACTCGATCCTTTTTTGAGCCTTTGCTCAGATCTCACCTTTTCAGTCAGGTTTGCCCTGACCCACCCAGTTTCATATTGTAATTTTACCCTACTTCACCGTTCACCCCAGGTTTCCAATCCTTTCACCCTTTTAAGTACTTGCACTACTTTTTACCTTTTTGTCATAGCCGTCATCATCTTATAACACACTTTATAATTGTTTATTATATTATTGTATCTCCCACTATTATTAAGTTCCTTGAAGGAAAAGATCTTTGTCTCTTTTGGTTACTGATAGAACCCCAATTTGCAGAACACAGTCAGGCACAGAGTAGATATGAAATAAAACTCCGGAATGTTGAATATTGCTCTCTTACAATGACTGTTCATTAGCATATCCTAAGTCACTTACAGAGGCTGACTTGAACTCAGTGCTATTCGAGTCTGCACAGGCTCAGGAGTAAAGACTGGTTTGCAGAAGTTCCATGCAGCCACTGCATAGGCAAAACACATTTTCTGGGCTTTCAGGGATACATTTGCACTCTCAGCTGCCACCCAGGATGGTTCAGGGAAAGAATTTCACAAGCTCTGCACTATGCCTGAAAACAAAGAACACACACCTCTAGTGCGTCTGTGTTCCCAGGAAGACCGGAAATGCCTCAGTGGTGAGACCACTGCTGTATTTCTTTCTTTCCTACCTTACACAACATCTTACAAGAGGCAGGCTCGTAATAATTACTCAGCACATATTGACTGAATTCATTTGAGAGCTTCCGAGATGGAAAACTGTTTTTTTGAGAAATAAACTCTTAGCTTGGATGCAGGGGTTGGGTGGCGTTTTATTATTCTAGAGAGATGCTGACTCATAGTGGTGGGGGAAGGGAGTACGGGGAGAAGCAAGGCTTTTAGACTGAGCCTATGGATTACTTAGATTTCCTCCTCTGGCTTCTCAAGGTGTATGTTTTGATTTTCTTGGCTTCTTATGAATCTTGTTCAGCTGTCTAGCTGCTGCCTGCTGTCCTGTTCACAGTGGGGAGTTAGCACAGGGCCAGTAGAGCTGTGAGTTTGTTGCTCTGTGCTGTCTAGTCATCAGAATCCCTCTTGCAAAACCAGGAAGAATAAACCACAATCTGCTTCTAGCTGTAAATCTACCCTGGTGATGACAAGCTGATGTCACCCAACTGGCCAGCTCACTGCGTTGTGACCACAGCCTGTGGCTGCATTCTTAGTGTTGTATTGTGTAATTGCAGGAAAGTGCCTGCACAGAACCTACACATCCCTTAAAGATTTACAGCCTAACACATCCACTTTCTTGTCTTCTCCTCCCTAGGACGGCACCCACACACAAAGAGGATGATTTCCCTTAACTCAAACCATGCAAGTTACTGCAGTTCATCTCATGGGAGGGGCTGAAATACACGCTAGTAACTCCTCTGCCCTTCAGCCTTCAAAGTAAGAGTCAGCTTTTTCTCCCCATTTGGGACATCAAGCCTAGCATGTAAGACTTAAAATTTTTTTCTTCATTTTTGCTTAATTCTCATGCCAAAGTATACTATAATAAATATGTGAATTTAGTTATATTGTTCAAAGATCTACACAGACACATTCATCCCGCTAACACATCAAAGAAGTATTTACGAACGCCCATCTTTTTAAAAAGTTTGCAGCATTCTCTGCTGAAAGAGAGAATTCTCACTGGTTAAATGTTGCAGTCCCTCTGGGCAGTGATGTGCCTTCATTAATAGAGAGAATTGAAGAGCCAGAGCTGGTAAATCTTCTAAGGAGCAGGGAAGTAAGGTGTGCTTAAGGCACAAAGGCTACTTGAGTGGCTTCAGGAATTCAAGACAGGTGACAACTCTAGACTCACTTGCTGAAAGAATTTTGAAAACCTTGCTCATTCAGCACCTAGGAGTGCCCTCTGAAAGGCCCTCCTTAAAGTGCTTCCAGAATAGAGAACTCAATCTGGTGAAGCGCCAGGGAAGCCTTTTCCTTGCAAGGCTGACCACTGGCATGTGCCTTCCTGTGCTGGCTGTAGGCATCTTGTTTTATAGGATGTACATTTGGAACCTGCAGATTTCAATTCTATACCAGGTGCTCATATTTAGGACAAGATCTTCAAGGTCACAGATTTTCCCATTCTTTCTTTCCTTGAACTAGCAGTTTTGGAAGTACTTTGAGTGGTCCAAACCATGGTGTTTCTACCTTAGGTGAAGAAAGGCTATGAATGAGACTGAGATAGTTACTATAAAATTTGAAACATCCAGGGAGGAAGAGAGGATAAATACCTGTCTTATCAGAAAAAGCAGTGGCAATTGCAAAGATGTGACATGTAAATGAGAATCATGAAGTAATCGGAAAAATTCCATTGAACCCAAGCTCCTATAGCCTATGCGCTTGATGAACTGGAACAATACCTGAGGCCTTCAGTCACTTGTTTCACTTTCTGAAAAGCATTAACTGAAATACCTACTATGATCCTACAAATCTTCTAGAAGATAAAAGTAAAACTGTAAATAATACCAGTGCCTGCTGCCAATGACAGTGCATTCTAATGGGGGATGCAGGAGAGACAGACATATAAAAAATAATTTGGGGCTGAGTGTGGTGGCTCACACCTGTAACCCCAGCACTTTGGGAGGCCGAGGTGGGCAGATCGCTTGAGCTCAGGCATTCAAGACCACCCTGGACAACATAGGGAGACTCCATCTCTACAAAAAATTCAAACATTAGCTAAGTGTGGTGGTGCTACTTGGGAGGCTACTTTGGAGGCTGAGGTGGGATGATCGCTTGAACCTGGGAGGTTGAGGCTGCAGTGAGCCATGATTATGCCACTTCACTCCAGCCTGGACAACAGAGCAAGACTCTGTCTCAAAAAATAAAAAATGAAAAATAAATAATTTTGAAACAATCTCATAAGTGCAACCAGTAAAATAACCTGTATTTATGAGTACTTATAATATTCTGGTTCTTGAGCTAAAAATGTACATGGATGACCTCATTCAATCTTCACAATAAATTGCTGAGGTAGGTAGGCACCAGTCTGCTGTGCAGATGAGAAAACTGAGGCTCAGTGGACTGAAACCCATCTCACAACTAATAAGAGGCAGACCTAGCATCAGAACCCGGGTCTGACTCCAGTGCCCATTCTTGCTGCCAAGATTCTGTACGACTTTCCGTGTGATAAAAAATGATATGCCAAATATTTTAAGAGTCTCTAGAAGGAGACAAGTGATCAGGGCAGTGGAGAGAAGGATAACAGGATAATCTTTGAGGGGATGTCACTTTGAACTACTTCTTTATTCCATTTTATTTCTTCTACTGACATATTATTTGTGCCATTTAAAAGTCATTCTCTTATATTAGGAATATAAAAGTTAATTCGTCAGTATCTGCCTTTAAAGGTATATGTGTGGTGTTGTTACACTACACAGAAAGTGGTATATTATTTAAATAATATAAATTTAAATATATATTAAATTTAAATAATATTACGTTTAAATAATATACCACTTTATATGTAGTGTGAGGAATTTTAACATTATTTCTCCTTCCTTTCCTTTGTGCTATTATTGTCATATATTTATTCTTACATATGCTAAGAACACACAATCCGTTGTTTACTATTCTTGCTTTAGAGGAAAATTGCTCTTTTAGAGCAATTAAAAATTTCTAAACATGATTTTAATTTATTTATTTCATTCCCAATGCTCTATATCTTTGTGTAGATTCAAGTTTCTGACCTGAAGTTTTCTTCTGCCTGAAGAACTTTCTTGAACAGCTCTTGAGTGTAGGCCTATTGGCAAGACATTTTGTCAGTTTTGTTTGCATGAGAAAGTATTTCTCTTATATTTTTGAAAGATATTTTTGCTGGGAATAGAATTCTATGTTGATAGTTCCACAAGATGGCAGTTCTCCCAGCCATCTTAGCACTTTATAGATGTCCCTCTATGACCTGCTGGCTTGCATGGTTTCTGAGGAGTCTTCTGCAAGGCTTACCTTTGTTCTTCTCTGTGGAATATGTCTTTTTTCTGGCTGCCTTCAAGATTTCTTTTTGTCGTTTGTTTTCAGCAGTTTGAATATATGTCTTTTGTTTCCAGCAGTTGTTGCATATGGTTTTTGTTGTTTGTTTATTTATTCATTTGTTCATTTGTATATTTATGCTCCTTGGTACTATCTGATCTTCCTTTTTTTAATTTTTTTTATTTTTTGAGACAGGGTCTCCCTCTGTCACCCAGGCTGGAGTGCAGTGGCACCATCTCAGCTCACTATAACCTCTGCCTCCTGGGTTCAAGTGATTCTCCCACCTCAGTCTCCTGAGTAGTTGGGATTACAGGCATGTGCCACCACAGCCCGGCTAATTTTTATATTTTTAGTAGAGATGGTGTTTCTCCAGACCTCAGGTGATTTGCCCGCCTGGGCCTCCCAAAGATCTGGGATTACAGGTGTGAGCCACTGCGCCCTGCCTGATCTTCTGAATCTGTGGTTTGGTGTCTGTCATTTTGGAAATTTATTGGCTATTATTTATTCAAATATTTCTTTTGTTCTGCCCTCTTCCTCTTCTCTTTCTGAGGTTCAAAACATGCCTATGTTAGACAATTTGGTATTGCTCTGAAGGTTTTGGATACTCAGTAATGTTTGCAGTTTTGAACTCAGTTGTATTTTTGTGTGTCAGTGTGGGCCATTGCTGCTGACCTGTCTTCATGTTCACTGATTATTTCCTCGACTGTGTCCAGTGTGATGAACCTGTGGAAAGAAAGCCTTCTATATCTGTGACTGTGTTTTTCACTTCTATCATTTCCACTTGACTTTTTATTTTATAGTTTCCATCTCTCTGCGGAGATTACCCATTCAATCTTTCATCCGGCGTTGTTTTCCAGTACAGCCCTTAACATATTAATCACAGTTCTTTTAAATCCCCTGTCAGATCGTTCCACTATATGTGTCATCTCTGAGTCTTACTTTGATTACGGCTTTATCTTCTAGGAGTGAATTTTTTTTCTTGCCCTTTTGTGTGCCTCATAATTTTTGGTTGACAGCTGGATGTTCTGTGGAGGCCCATAGAGACTGAGGTAAATAGTTTTTATGCCTGAAAATGTGCATACATTTCCTTTGCTAGACTTCTGATATGGGGGGAGGAGTTGAATGAACCTAGTTGGCGAGTGGGACACTGTTGAGCTTTGTTGTTGCTGTGGTTATCCTCAGGGCATCATGGACCCTGAATTCCTGGAGGGATAACTTGTGTTCAGGTTGGAGAGTGAGGCGGGGTTGCCAGAGTGAAGTCTGCTGGGTCCCCAGCTTTCAGGCTGCACCTCAGAGTGGCTGCATGCTCTTATACCTTTCCTGTCCCTCTCCCATTGGTATATGTTTTACTCTTTACTTGCAACTTGTTACCTTGGTGGCAGGGGGTGGGACACGGAGGACATTCTGATTAATTTTCTAATGAAACCCCTTGGTCTCAGGGATGCATCCTGAGCTTTCCTCTCTCCCCTGTCTGTAATCCTGGGCCCAGCAGGTGTTCCTGCCCCTTCCTCAGAAGGAGAGTTTCTCATTTTTAAACAATCCCTTCCCTCCCAGCTGCAGTGAGTTTTCATCAGTGCCCTAAAGACAACAGCATTTATTGACCTTTCCTCCACAGATTACAATTTTTGTTCCATTGGAGAGTTGGCAGAAGGGCCCGGCTGAGCCGTGTGCTCCTGTGCATGTCTGCCTTTTCTCCCTTCAGGTCTGCGCCACATCAGACATGTTCTTAGGGTGCTCACCAGTCTTTTCTGTGAACACCCTGTAGAATTCTGAGAGAAGGAGCCGGCAATTTCTATGGCTCCCTAAGGCTTTACACTGTCCCACCAGCCCACACATAGCTGTGTTCACCAACTCATCGATTCCACTGGCCAAAATCTTCCCACCAGCTTTGGTTGCATCTGCCCCAGGTGAGTGAGTGCTTATTGTCTCTTTTCTCCCTGAAGGTATCTTTCTCTCCTCAGATTTTGGACTAGGTGTGGTACAGGAAAGGATTCCCAATCCAGACCCCAAAAGAGGGTTCTTGGATCTCGCACAAGAAAGAATTTAGGGTGAGTCTGCAGTAGAAAGTGAAAGCAAGTTTATTAAGGAAGTGAAGGAATAAAAGAATGGATCCTCCACAGACAACGCAGCCCAGAAGGCTGCTGGTGGCCCATTTCTATGGTTATTTCTTGAGTATATGCTAAACAAGGGGTGGAATATTCATGTCTCCCCTTTTTAGACCATATAGGGTAACTTCCTGACGTTGCCATGGCATTTGTAAACTGTCACGGCGCTGGTGGGAGTGTAGCAGTGAGGACTACAGAGGTCACGCTCATCGCCATCTTGGTTTTGGTGGGTTTTGGCCAGCTTCTTTACCTCAACCTGTTTTATCAGCAAGGTCTTTATGACCTGTAATTTGTGCCAACTTCCTCTCTCATCCTGTGACTTAGGATGCCTTAAGTGTCTGGGAATGCAGCCCAGTAGGTTTCAGCCTCATTTTACTCAGCTCCTATTCAACATGCAGTTGTTCTGGTTTACGTGCCTCTGAGAGCTGTCTGCTCTACAACTCAGTTCTGTAATGAGATTTTTAGAAAAGTCATGTATTTAAAGTTTGTGGGTTTTTTTTTTTTCATTGTAAGTGTGGAAGAAACATGCTTTACAGCTTTGTATATCCCAGAGAAGAAACCAGAAGCCTTCTGAAGTATTTTAATTTTACATGAAATTTGGATAAATTTGGTATATTAGAGGTTTTTGTTGGCAAATGTCAAAAATACAACTCAAAATTGAAACTATATTGCTTCACATAGCTGGAATGTCCCAGTGTGGATCATGATTGAGACATAGCCTTACCCAGGATAAATAATGTTAGCAGGGCTCTTTTTGTTTGTTTGTTTGTTTGTTTGTTTTTTCGAGTCAGGATCTCACTGTGTCACCCAGGCTGGAATGGAGTGGCTTGATCACAGCTCACTGCAGCCTGGATCTCCAGGGCTCAAGTGATTCCTCCTCAGTCTTCTGAGTAGCTGGGACTACAAACTGCACCCAACCTTGTTAATTCAAGTTACATAAAAAGGCTGTGCATGGTTTTGTGTGTGTGTGTGTGTGTGTGTGTGTATAATACATGTTCAAGTGCAGAAAATGCAGGAAGGATAACTCCTCAAATAGTCATTAACTGTGATTGGTACTGGAAGTTAGGTCAGAGTAAAGCAGATAACAGAAACTTTCACTGTACACTTTGTGTAACTCTGTACTTTTTTTTTAAGTTAACTCGTATTATTATATTTTGTTTTAAAGAGCATAAAGCATAAATGTGGAAAGTTTCAGTGTTTACAAGAGAAAGCTTCAGTTATATGGAAAAATCACTACCTGAACCATCTTATTCCTATATGTACTAGATTGATGAAATGTTATTACAAATAGAAAAATCTCAGGACAATGTGTAAGTTAGATATCCAGAGAGGTATGCAGAAGATTAGAGGGACAGGAGGGCATTACAAAAAGTTGCCTTATAGTTCATACATTAACATTGTTTATCTTGCTGAAATACCATGTGGGTAAAAGCAAGCAGCATGCATCCTGATAGGAGGTGAATGAACTTGGCTGTCATACCCATTTCCCAAGGGCAGGATTCGCTACACACAAGATTATAAGACCTTTAAGAGGGAGGAAGCCTGTAATCCCTGCACTTTGGGAGGCTGAGGCGGGCGGATCACGAGGTAAGGAGATCGAGACCGTCCTGACTAACACGGTGAAACCCCGTCTCTACTAAAAACACAAAAAGTTAGCCAGGTGTGGTGGCACGTGCCTGCAGTCACAGCTACTCGAGAGGCTGAGGCAGGAGAATCGCTTGAACGTGGGAGGCAGAGGTTGCAGCGAGCCAAGATTGCATCACTGCATTCCAGACTGGGCAACACAGCGAGATTCCATCTCAAAAAAAAAAAAAAAAAAAAAAAGAGGGAGGAGAGGAAGCCCCCAACAGAATCCAGGAAGCTGCTTCTTCTCCACAAGGAAGAGAGAGCTAAATAGAATACAACTCAAAGATGGAGAAGCTGTTTCATATATGGAATAGTTAGAGGAAGGCTAACATGGAATTAAAGATGCAGGAAACTGTAAAGGAAGACAGAGTGTGTGCATAAACTGTGTTGTTTCTACCACTTCACTCCAAGGTGAAATGAGCAGGATACTTAGAGAACAAAAGCATCTCTCCCTCGTCAGTCACTGTCATTATCTCCTGTTTCTTCTTTATTGAAGTCCACCCTTGCTTCCTTCCTCAATGGCCCACCTCCCCATACATCCTTAAGCTAAAGCTCCAGACCCCAACACATGCAGAAACACACAGACCCAGGATTACATTTAGATCCTAATTCTCAGGAGTCCAGAGGAGACCTTTGAGTTTTGTGCATTCCTACATCTTGGTAGATTATACAATTTCAATGTGCAATGTCGACTTCATTTGTGTTTATGGATACACTAATTAGCAGTCATGAAATATGACCTTAAAATAATATTTTCTGTCTAGTGTGTTCTCTTAAGGGTCTGAATGTGTCTGGCTGCATAAGGTCAGCTAATCAAAGAATCAGGGCTTGTTGCGTTTCCTTTATTAACGCCACATTTACTTGCCTAAGTAGCCTACTCCTGCTGGATACTATCATCCCTGCATTGTTTCTGTTTTTCTTTTTAGTTAAAATCTCCCAAACTGTACTTCACAGGTGATAAACTATTACCCCATGTTCCTTTCTCTCTCCTTATATTTTAGTCTCCCTTAGTAATTTTCTTTTCACTCTTCTGTTTTAGGTTAATCAGATTCATCTTGTTTAATGCCTCTTGTCTGAATAATCCTGAAATTCTATTGCTAAATACAGTGTTTATTGCAACATAGCTCTGGTATCCTCTATGAGGTTTAAAAAGAACTCTTTTATTACTAGTTTGTAAGGGATGTTTATGAATGGGTGTTGAATTTATTTTTCAACGTCCTTTCTGCACCAATTGAGCAACATACAGTTTTTCTTTTTTACTTTCTCAATTTTGTGAATTACATTAACATCTTTTCCTAATACTATATCATTATGAAGTGGACCAGATTTGATGATGATGTGTTTTTATACATTTATAGATTCATTTTGTAAATAGTTCATTCAGAGTTTTTTCATTTATATTCATAGATAAGAATATATTTTCTTTCTCATAATATCCTTGTTGAATTTTTACATTAGGAAATAGCCTGCCAATATGGACTGTGAAGTTTTTCTAAGATGCACATTTTAAGGCAATATCTTCTCCTCTACAGATTGCTTTACCTGGGTTCTAAAAGTTCTAGTTGGTACTACTGCTTTTCATTGTCATTCATTTTAAAATATGTTCTAATTTTCATTATAATTTATTCTTAACTGTTATTTCCATTGTTTTTATTACATGCAAATCCAAAGGATTGTGATTATTACAATTGTTATTTTGCCAACTTTTTATTATTGACTTCTAATTTAATTGTAAAACTGTGCATGATATTAATTTTTGGCATGGATCAGACTACTTTTGTACTTTAGTAAGGCATCAATTGTTTTAAATGTACCTATGTTTGAAAATTATATTCTTTCTCTTTTGGTTGGTGTAAGGTTCTAATATACATATCTCTTAGATGAAGCTTGTTAATTCTGTCGGTCAAATATTTCATATGCTTATTTATTGTCTAATTGAACTATCATTTTCTGAGCTAGGTATCTTAAAAGCTTCCCCTATGATTATAGATTTATTAATCTTTCCTTGTAATTCTACCTATTTTTACTTCAGATATTTTTGAGACTACATGGCTAAGTGTATACATTTCAATTATTTTATCTTCCTGGTGACACTCTCCTTTCATCATTATGTACTGCTATGTATTCTATTTTGAGTAAAAGCCTCAATATTTTGCTTACTATTAAAAGAGGTAAGGAAACTTTATTTTGGTAAAAATGTATTGATTTTTTAAAAATTATTTTGCCTAAAATTTTTAGGTGACTTTAATATTTCTTCTAAATCTAACAAGATTTTTATTTTTAAGGCAGACCGAGAGTCTGTATTTTGATAGGCAAATTTTATCTGTTTACATTTACTGAGATTACTGATATGTTTGGACTTTTTTCTACCATGGTATTTTTTGTTGGCTTTATGTTCATGATGCTTTTTCTTTGTCTCTCCACCTTTTCTTTCTTACCATCTATTGAACAAAATGAAATTTTTTGGTCCTTTTTTTCCTCTAGTACTTTGAAAATTGAATACTGTGTTTCTAGCCCTTTAGTGCAATGATTTGCAATATGTGGTCCCCAGACTGGCAGCATCAGCATCACCTGGCTTTTATCCAAAAGTCAGATGATAACAAATGCTGGTGAGGATGTGGAGAAATGAGAACCCTCTTGCATTATTGGTGGGAATGTTAATTAGTAAACCACTATAGAGAACAGTTTGGAAGTTCCTCAAAAAACTAAAAATAGAGTTTCCATATGATCCAGCAATCCCACTGCTGGCTGTATGCCCCCAAAGAAGGGAAATCAGTATATTGAAGAGATATCTGCACTCCTATGTTTGTTGCAGCACTATTCACAATAGCCAAGATTTGGAAGCAACTGAGGTGTCCATCAATAGGTAAATGGATTTTTTAAAATGTGGTACTTATACACAATGGAGTACTATTCAGCCATAAAAAAGAATTCTATCATTTGCAACAACATGGATGGAACTGGAGGTCATTATGTTAAGTAAAAAAAGCTGGGCACAGAAAGATAAACATTATATATTCTCATCTATTTGTGGGATGTACAAATCAAAACAATTGAACTCTTAGAGATAGAGAATAGAAGGATGGTTACCAGAGGCTGGGTTGGGGGTATTAAGGGCACATTGGGAGGAGGTGGTGATGGTTAATGGGTATAAAAAAAATAGAAAAAGTGAATAATACCTTGTGTTTGATAACATAACAAGGAGACTGTAGTCAATAATAAATTAATTGTACATTTGAAAGGAACTAAAAGAATATAACTGGATTATTTATAACACAAAGGATAAATGCTTGAGGGAATAGATACCCAATTTTCCATGATGTGATTATTACGTATTGCATGCCTATACCAAAATATCTCATGTATCCCATAAATATATACACCTACCATGCACTCACAAAAGTTAAAAACTTAAAAACATTATAAATGATGCTGGAAAAACTGGATATGTATATTCAGAGGGATGAAACATCTAGTTTCATCCTATCTCTCACCATACACAAAACTCAAATCAAAGTAGATTAAAGACTTAAATAATATAAGACCTGAAACTATGAAACAATACTAGAAGAAAACACTGGGGAAATGCTTCAGGACCTTGGACTGGGCAAAGATTTATTGAGTAAGGCCTCAAAAGCACAGACAACCGAGGCCAAAATTGAGAAATGGGATTATATCAAGCTAAAAAGCTTCTGCACAGCAAAGGAAAGAATAAACAAAGTGAAGAGACAACCCCACAAAATGGGAGAGAAATATTTACAAAATATTCAACTCACAAGGGATTAATAACGACAATATATTAGGAACTCAAACAACTAAATAGCAAAAAAAATTAATAACAATTTAGAAATGGGCAAAAGTTCTGAATAGACATTTCTCAAAAGAAGACATACAAATGGGCAACAAGTATATGAAAAAGTGCTCTACATCACTAATCATCAGAGAAGTGAAACTCAAAACCACAATCAGCTATCATCTCACCCCAGTTAAAATGGCTGTTATCAGAATGTTACAAAGGCTAGCAAGTAAGGGAAGCACTTATACCCTGTTGGCGGGAAAGTGAATGAATACAGTCACTATGGAAAACAGTATGCAGGGTCCTCAAAAAGCTAAAACTAGAACTGAAATGTCATCTGGCAATCCCAAGGCTGGCTATCTATCCAAAAGAAAAGAAATCGCCATATTAAAAAGATATCTGTGCCCCCATGTTTATGATAGCACTATTCACAACAGCCAAAATATGGAATCAACCTCAGTCCCCATCAGCAGATGAATGGATAAAGAAACCGTGTATATATACACAATGGAATTTATTCAACCATAAAACAAATAAAATCCTGTCAATTTGCAACAACATGATTGGAACTGGAGGACATTATGTTAAGTGAGATAAACCAGGCACAGAAAGACAAATGTTGTATGTTGTCACTCATGGGAGCCAAAAAAAAAAAAAAAAAAGAAAAATGAATCTCATGCATTTACTCCTGTGAGGAAGTTTTATCATCCTCCACTACTTTTTATGTTAGTTTCTTGTTTTTAAATTTTCACCTTACTGGAACAGTTTAAATTTAAATCCCACTGCCCTGTATTATGAGGACTTGAGGTTTTGGTTTATCATGGATGACAGATTTTTATCTACTCTACAGCAGGCAGAAGGCAAACTCTTTTTGCTTTTTTCCAGCACTGGTAAATGAAGTTTTTTATAATTTGCTCTTTATGGACATGGAACCTATTCAAATATGCTAAAACCCAATTCCTCAGCTCCTAAGACCTATATCCATGTCTGTGTTCCCTTTGGGTTGGCATGGTGTCAGTTCAGACTTAACCATTCTTATTTCAAATTACCTCTTTGCTTCTGACTGTTACAGGGGCTGGGGGAGTGCCCCCTTTTTTGAGTTAACTATTAATTTATTTTTTTCTTACAACTTTTTTGATTATATTATTTTTATCATGGATGGTATCCCTTATGCATTACCATGCTCCATGAAGCCTATCAATATTTTGCAAAGTCTGATGGATGCTATTTAATGGGCTCCCAACACACATTGTCTACTGAGGTAGAATCTGCTTCTGGCCTGAGAGTCACTCTTGTAATGAGTTATAACCATTGTCTGAAGATGTTTTTTACTTTACAAAATTCTATCTCATATTGTCAGCTACTATTTGGAAATATTTAATATCCCCAAATTGAATGATCATATTTTCTGTTAACAACTTGTTATTCTGGAAGAGTGGTGCTTCCCCTCCCCCAGAAATGGTGGCCTACATTTGAGATGTCACTAGCTTTACTTTTTCTATTCCTTCTTGAACATTTTTCTTTTCCCCATATCACCACCTATGCCTCAAAACATCTGATGGTTTTCCACAATTCCTTTGTTTCCGGCTTTTAATCCCTCAGCTGGGCTCCCTCCTCAATTCATTAACGTGGTTCCCTGTGAACCTCCAAATTTCTTCTCATCTTGTCTGCTCCTTTCCAAGCACTCAAGAGCCTCAGCTTCTTCCTGTTCTCTCACTTTGAACTGCATGCATCTTTAACTCAGCAGCCAGTTTCTGCGATGCCATTCAGCCTTGTATACCCCGTTAAGTTCAAATATTGGTAATTCCAAATTTGGGGTGAAATTAACTGAAGCTGAGAAAGAACTAACTGAATACAACAAAATGCAAAAAATGGCAAATGATAGAATGAATCTGGGAGATTAGTAAGGATGGAGAAATAGGCGAAAAGGTGATGAGTGGGATTTGGAGAGAAAATTGCACTTTAATCAAATGGATGTATAGCTTCCTAAGACAATGCCCAAATATAAGAAAATTCTGTAAGTAGCCAGTTATTTCATTGAGGGAAAGACAGTGTGTGTGGGAGGGGTGTCTCCAGACTGAAGATAGCATATGCCTTATTGCAAGTGTATTAGCAAAGAAAAGTTTTGGGGTCACCTTTATTTGGAGACATTTCTCTCAAGCTGGTTTGTGTATTTACTATCTATAGCAGAGATATAACAGCATGTCTAGGTCTAATTGAAAAGATATTTCCAAAATAGGTCATTTGAAATGAGAGTATTTATGGTGACTTTCCTTGGGAAACAGCCATAATTACTCCATTGTGATTTTCTTTTTTTTTTTTTTTTTTTTTTGAGACAGAATCTCTCTCTGTCACCCAGGCTGGAGTGCAGTGGCACGATCTCAGCTCACTGAAACTTCTGCTTCCCAGGTTCAAGTGATTCTTCTGCCTCAGCCTCCTGAGTAGCTGGGATGGGATTATAGGTGCGAGCCACCACGCTCGGCTAATTTTTGTATTTTTAGTAGAGATGGGGTTTCACCACATTGGCCAGGCTGTTCTGGAACTCCTGACCTCTGGTGATCTGCCTGCCATGGCCTCCCAAAGTGCTGGGATTACAGGCGTGAGCCCCCGCGCCCGGCCCTCATTGTGATTTTCTTTACTCTTTTCCTAGTGTTTTAAGTGGAAAAAAACCCAAATGATTTTGTTTTCTCTTATATTCCAGTAACTTGTAAAGTTTATTATGCATTTTCATAGCGCTGAGATTTAAGATCTTGGAAGTAGAATGTTAGGAGTGAGATAAGCTTCATAAAAACAAAGACCTCAAACTGTCTAAGGAGATGCAAGTTCATAGCTAATCTAAATGAGATTTCTATTTAAAGTACTTCAATACAATATTATAGTGCTTGCGGCCCTGCTTACTGGAAAGGTGTTGGTGTGGCTGTTTCCATTAAGTCTTATCTTAAATGTTTCATTATTTTATACACAATGGCCAGTGTGGTGCAGGAGGTCCCTCTTCATATACTTTTCTCATTGATGATCAATATTTAGGTTTTCTTTTGTGCTTAGAAATTGCTGTTTTGATACACACTCATTTTAAATTATTTTACCTGATTTTACCCTTAAAGAGAAGGGGAAAGTGTAAAGGGAAAATATGAAGTTGAGTCTTTTTAAACCTGGATCATGTCTCTCCACACTGTAAGAATAAAATACATGAGCCAAATCAATCTTTTTGGAGTTGTACATTCGAGAAGCACAAGTAAGCCAGCAGTCGGCCGTTTTGAGATCCCTCGAGTGTCATCAGGCTTTTTGGGTAGTATCATATTTTATTAATTAGGCTTTTTTTACTGAAAAGGATGTTTCAGGGCAGATCAGGTCCTTTTTTACTGTGTACCTGAAAGAACGTGGCTGCAGCCATAATTTTTCTGAATCATGGCTGCTGCTATAGTGTGTGATGTTCATGCTTGTGATCCTGCCCCTCTGCTGTCAGCAGGAAATCTTGGATAAAGGGGACCTTTCTGTAGCTGCTGCATGTCAGGCAGGTTCTTCCTATTGCTGTAGTTCACAGAAGGCCCATGGCCTCAAGGAGGCATGGTAAAGTTGGGTGAAAGAAATATCACTGGGTGGAGAATCAGGAACTTTGATCTCTGGTTTCAGATGGGCCAGTAACTTGCTGTCTGACCTAAGCAATCCACTTAATCTCTCTGAGCCTGGTTTCCTTCTCTGAAAAATGAGAGGACCTGGACTTGGTAAGTTTCAGTTTTGGGAAGAAGAGGGCTCTAAAATTACTAGGTTGTGAATAAGATATCCACTTGTCCTAACATTTATCAAACTCTTTTGTAACATTTATGTTTGCCAGGCACTGTTCTAAGCTTTTAACAAAGATGAAGCCATTTTATCCTCAGATGACACTTTGAGGGGGTAATATTATCATCGCCATTTTATAGATCCAGAAATATATGACCAGAGGTAGAGGTGGGATTCAAACTCAGGCAGCGTGCCCTTAAGCTGATGCTTTTAAATATTGGCATGTGTTAGCATCTGACTCATCTAGAACACATCCTTTTTCTGGTGGGCTTCATAGAGGAGCATTAAAATTACTGTGTTGTAGAGGAATCATTACTACATAAAGAAATGACATTCAGGAGATCTGGCTTCTTCAATGATTGAGAACAGTGGAGTCTATTTTATGAGCTTCATGTTGAAAGGCTTTACAAAGCATGTATTTTATTCTTCACAAAGTTCATGAAAAAAAAAAGAAGGCATAGAGAGTCATAGGAAAAGAACAAGGATACCTGGGGCTTTGGCTGCAATTAGAGCAGGAGAGTGCTTATATCTGGAATCCTTAGATGTCTGATTACTGGTTTTTCTTATGTGTAAATACAAGTTGCTGTGCTAAGCAGAAAATAATTGTAATGGATTCATTTAATCATAACGCAGCAAAGTTTAACTTGTTAGAGCTTCCAACTTGCAGATGAAGCTTTCCCTGGGGCAGCCAGTCTGATTATAGTTGCTGTAGCTGACCTACTTATCAGCTTTTTCAAAAGGTGGCTTAAATGCCTCCCAGGATACAGGAATACACAGAAAGCCTAACAGGAGTAACTTTCCATAACTCATGATTCATTTTTTAGGGCATTTGGGGGCAATACATCATATGAGGTAATCTTGTTCATGCTTGCAGTTTTCACCTAGACATGAGTCACAAGATTAATTCTTAATAACTCAACTAAGAATTCTTAATAGGGGGGTGACTAGAAGATTTCAAATCCAGAGGTATTTTTTCTGATAGAGTTTGATTAGGTACACATGTGCAGGAGAGCCCACCACCACTTTTCAAGACTTTTGCCCTGGTTGGTAACCCAGAAGTCATGTCTTCTCTTGGGCACTTGATGTGTTCCCCTTCTAGTTGGGTTAATGGTGGAGATAAAAGGAAATGATATTCACTTTTAATGCAAATCGTGTCTCTTCACAGAAGTGAGTCAAGAGTTTGAAGTTGTGTTAGAACTATCCGTTTCTTGATCTGTAGGAGTCACCTAATGACTGGTAAAAAGTAAGATGGTAGGGAAATGACTATATTTTATGTAAACTTGTAAGACTGGACCTCAGGTTGACAGAGTGACGGGTTGTTCTTTCAACTGACATACTCTCAAAGGCACTGGGGGCTGTGGAGTCCCATCTAAAATGGATTCAGGAGGCTGAAATCAACTCCAGGATTAAAACAAAAGTGGCCTTTCTGAAAGATCTTGGAAACCAATCGAGATCAATCCTCTATGGTTGATGCAAGTGAGTAAGAGTAAAGAAAGTGAAAAGTTATGAGCAAAAAACAAACTCCTCTTTTCCTTTCCTGGAATTGATATTTCCTTATAGCTCCCCAAGCCTGATCACATCATCTAGTTTTCCTGTCATTTTTCATTTCTTTGCTTTTTTTTTTTAATCCTCCCTTTATCTTCCCTGTTTCCCCTATTTTTTTCTTTCCCTCTCACTGTCTGCCACACTCCCTATCATTCTTCCATTCTCTTCTATCTAAAATTCTTCAGCTTTCACCTAAAACTCAGTGCTAGGTTTGTAACTAGAGGCTCTGGTAGACATGTTTTTAGGTCAGGGGTTCTATGCATAACCAGATGCCTGTGACTTCTTAAGGATTCTCTCTGTTTGCTGTGCCTTTGAGAGACCTTTTATTCTTGGTTCATATACTATGGCCTACCCAATAATGTTTTATTCTACTTTAAAGTTTTTCTCCTAAACCAGAATATTTATGAGAATCAGTAGAGACCAGAAAAGTGAGGCAGAGATTTGGAGAGGATTCTAATTAACCTCCTTTTGCCTCATTACATTTCATGGAACAAATCAGGGTCACCTCATCTTTGGGTTCCAAAATCACCAGGTTGGCTTTTCATGGAAGGGCTCAGTTATCTTGGTTCCTTGAATACTTTCTTAATGGCCCCATTGCCCAACCCTTGCCCTGTTTTCATTGTGACCTTCTGTTTTATATAATGGCTATTGAGCCTAATTAAAAATTATATTTTTTCTTCTCATTTCACATCATGGCCTTGGTGAATGTATTTTATTGTCTCAAATGCTAGTCAGTCTAGGAACAAACATGGCATGCTATTTGAAGTTTTCATTATGGAAGAAGATCAGATGTGGATTTTGGGGAGAGAAATCCTGGTGGGATACTGACTGACCGCATCTAGAAGTGACAGCAGCAGAATTTTGCATCTGGGATTCATTAGTCACTTCTTACCACAATGCAGAGATCTAAAGACAGAGTAGTCCATCCTTCTCTATCCTTCCCTACACAGTCATCATCTCCATCTCCAGTCAAACCACTGAACTGTTCACCGTATGTGAGGTCTCTCTTCTGTATTTTCCATATCTTCCCAAAACTCGATTTTTCCTTGTGCTGGCTTGTCTGGCCAATGCAATAGCTTCATATCCTGTCTTAGCTTTCTAAAGTACTTTGTAACTTGCATTTCAATGATATGGAGCTATTTTCTCCAGTAGGAGCAGCTGAAGAGGTAAAATGAAATTAACACGCAAAAACCTCAACAATGTCAAATGATGATAGGTTTCTGTGTGTACTCCCTCCAAAAGATCCAATATGAAGGAGGAAAGACCAAGGTGTGATTGTTCTTCTGAGAAAGGCAAAGAGATACACCATATATATAGGTTGAAATAATAAATCCGTTGAGATTAACCATGCAAGATTTCTTCTGATCAGCCTATTGCTGTTTCAAAATATCATTAAATGGCTGCATTCCACATGAGATGCAGGAAGATCACAGTAAGAGGGCAGAGAGTAGTTTCACTGCCCCTTCCTAACCTTGACAAATGTCCTTTAAGTGACCTTGATGCAGTTACCACTGTTGTCATTGTCCTCTCTGATGAATTTTTTTTCTTTTACTTTCAGCTCGGGGACCTGCTTCACAAGTTACAGTTCGTCCTGACATATGTGGCTCCTTGGCAGATGGCTTGGGGTTCTTCGTTTCACGTGTTTGCTCAGCTCTTTGCCATTCCTCGTATCCTTTCTGCTTCTATTTTCACCCTCCAGCTGAGATTCACATTTTACGGAAGCAAGCTTTTCATTGACCCCTGGCAATAAAAAGATTTTAAAGTCTATAAGATTACATTTTAATGGGGACATGAAGAGGCACTTTGGATCCCTTTAGGCCACTTAGCCTTAAAAGATATTTCTTTATTTTGAACTCTTCCTGCTTCTTAATGCATATTCAGGAGTTACTTTTATTTTTTCTGGTCCTTCCATTTCCCATGCCCAGATCTGCATTAAGGTACCCTGTCTTTTAAACTGCTTAAATGATTGGGTTGCCTTGTGCAAAATAGTGCAAATAAATTTGCTGTTATTAAGCATTGTGGATAGGTTTAATGCATTCAATACATTTTTATCAAGTGTATATTATTTTATAGTATGGTTATCATATTATACTTCAGTAATATTCAGAAACACAAGATTAGGTACAAACAGCATTGGGAAGACTAAAAAATTAAATTATGGTCTTTTAGTGGCTATTAGCCAAGAAGCCTTGGTTTCCATGTGTGTTTTACAATGTTTACATAATAGTTTTAATTTACTTCATAACAAATTTTGAGATGCTCCTTCTAAACATCACTTTGACATTGATAGCTAAGTTTTATATATGTGCACGCGTGGGTAAGGGGAAGCGGAGAGAGAAATTGCTTTAAAAATACTCTTGAAGAAAGAGATTAATTAAAATTTGACTCAGGCCTAAAATATGTCCTCAAAGGTTTTCCTTCCCAGTGAATTTAGAGTTTTTAAACCTGTGTGTTTCCCAGGAAACAGGGACCACTTGCATCAGAATCCCTGGAGGAACTAATTAACTAAGTAGATTCCTGGACCCAACTCATACTTTTTAAATCAAATTTCACTGGGCGGGATCCTAGAATCTGTCTTTCCACAAGCTTTCTTGGTGATTCTTATGCCATCAGTGTGTGTAAACCACAGTTCTCAACTCTGGCAATCCATCAGGGCTGCTGTTAGCTAACTTGAATGACCACTCAGAACTCTCTTCCATATGAAATTTACATAAGGCTCATTAAGACAATTCTTAAGGAATCTCTATGACCTTAACTTGGTGTACAGGAATGGAAACATACTTAGGATAATCCTTGAGTGATAATATATTTTATATTTTGAAAAATGATTTCTTCCAGGCCCTAACTTTTTTTAAAAAAAATGTTAAGCATACGAAGAGTGGATCTCACAATACACATTGTTCTATGTTGCTATTCTTAGATGTGCATTGATATTTCTAAAGTGTTTCAAGGTCATTTGGCAGAACAAGCTAAGGAAAATTATATACATGTTTGCAAAGCCTGAGCTTGTGCACCACCCTTTCCCTTTAGCTGCAATCATTTTCTATAAAGCCAGTAATTTCAGTTTTCCAGAGTCCTTTAAAACAAAAACAGGTGAAATATTGAGTTGATTTTTAATCTCTTTCTGACGTATTTCTAAAGTTTCCTCTTTAGAATTTAAAGCATGTTTATTAAATGAAAATGATTAGATTAATGCAAATTTGTTGTTGAGGAGTTACACCAAGAATTTAAAACTTGAGGTTATAATTCCTGATGTCATAACTTTGGACTTGCATCTGTCTGTAGCATTTCTTGTTGGTGTTTATGCCTTGTTAGGTGAATTCAATATTACTGATTATTCCTTGGAGTTCCACGACTGAATTAAGACTGTTGTGGGAACCATAATTTTCAAATACTTGCCCTATATTCGTGTTGAGGGTTCACACATGAGCACATGGTATTTGGCACTTAATAAGTCCTATAAGAATAAAGACAGCGTTAGGATTTATCTCAGCTTGTGCACAGTGAGCATTAAATTTACATACTTTCATGATATACAGACTAATTGTCTTACAACATGGAAACATTCGAGATGCAGATTTTATTGGGCATTTGGTGGTTCCATTTTACAGCACTCAGTGGATCCCCTTGTTTTGTTCCTAAGCCTGGCCCTGTTAGTGACACCCACTTCCACCCCTTCTGCTAAGATACAGAGCCTTCAAATTGACCTCCCTGGAGGCTGGAGGCTGGCCACTGACAGGATCTTTACCCTCTCCCCCGTACCCATGGACGGCCCCCTCATCCTTCATCAGTTGTAAAGGTAGATATTTGTTCCTTGGAGTCCAACATCATGCTGTTCAGAATATAATGAGATCAATAGTTGAAAAACTAGATATACATGCCACCCAGACAAAGCTATTAAGTTATTAAGTGTCAGCCCTGGATCTTGGCTTATTGTGAAATGTTAATTATTTTATCACTCTATTAAGAAGCTGTGGGCTCCATCTCAGCATTGAAAAGGGACTAATTTGCTCTGTTTTGGAATTGAATTAGCTTTCAGGCCAGCAGGGCACTGTTTGGTAAATTGCTTTTTCCAGTACTAGCATGTTTTCTCCCTCCATAGCCTCTGTTAGCTTCTGAGCTTGTAACCTCCAGGGAAAGATGAGAATATTCACCCTTTTAATATGTGTAGAGACCATGCAAGACCATTGTCTTCTAATAATTAGAAATACTTAGCCAGATTCTCTATAGTAAACCCGGAGATTGGGAGGGCTGCTTTCTACTTGGTGCATCCTTCTGCGCTTCTAATGATTTTTAAAAATCTGTTAATAATTGATGTTTTCTGGCTGGGCACAGTGGCTCACGCCTGTAATCCCAGCACTTTGGGAGGCCAAGGAGGGCAGATCATGAGGTCAGGAGATTGAGACCATCCTGGCTAACACGGTGAAACCCCGTCTCTACTAAAAATACAAAAAAATTAGCCGGGCATGGTAGTGGGCGCCTGTGTACCCAGCTACTGGGGAGGCTGAGGCAAGAGAATCGCTTGAACCTGGGAGGCGGAGGTTGCAGTGAGCTGAGATGGTGCCACCGCACTCTAGCCTGGGTGACAGAGCGAGACTTCATTTCAAAAAAAACAAAAACAAAAAACAAACAAAACAAATAATTGATGTTTTCATTTTAAGTGTGCTTTTAAAGGAGTGAGCATCTACCCCTCAGGTTAATCTCTCAGCTATTTCTCTTAGAAAGAAATAAAGAGGGCTTTATGTGCCTGCTCCTCTTAGTAGCTCTTCTTTCTTGGTACTGCCTTGCCAGTAGTAGTGACAGACTTTCATATTTGCCCAGAGTGTGCTATAATTCTTTACTGATCTTCCCCCCAAAAAAGATCCTCTCTATTCACTGCCACCCTCCCTCTAACCTGTTAAACGTCATTTCCTTTCCTACCACATTGAACTTTATTTTTAGACTAGCACAGTTTCCTCACTTCTTAAATTTTGGATAATTGTTTCTGGCATTTAAAAAATGTACAGTGTAATCTCTGGGGAAATTTTAGAATCAAAAACAAGAGCCACATCAGCCCCCCTTTTAATATGTGTAGAGACCATGCAAGACTACTGTCTTCTAAAAATTAGACAGACTTAGCCAGATGATCACATATTAGCACATCTGCCCAGCCCTGGCTCCACTTGGTTTTGTCCTGGTTCCTCTGCAAGCCCCATCACACCCTCTGTCCCCTGATGTGGGGACTTCTCCCTCTTCCATTCTTCTCAACACAGCCCCTCAGAAAACTCCACCTCTGACCTGACTCTGCTTTCTAATATTTTTTTCAATACCTTCACTCAATGATATCTTGCATGCAATTCCCTTTTCTTCCAATGATGAGGAGCATAATAGCTAATTTGTTGTGTTTTGTGGCAGAAGTATTTAGGTATTTTCAGCTTTCAGAAGAGGAAACTGATGGGTGATAATAGATATCACAGTAGCATATTGTTCTGTAGTTCTCTATTTGAACCTAGGTCAAAATAAAAAGAATTGGATTTAAATTGCAGCACAATAGAGATCTTTTTGATACCTAAACAATTCAACATTGGAATGGATTATTAATGGAGGATGTGACATTTTACTCTTGAAAATGCTTGGGAGTAAATAGAAAGTTTTAAAAAAAAAAGTCACTCTTGAAAAAAAAAAAATCATGATTTTTTTTTTTTTTTTTGAGGGAGGGTCTCACTCTGTTGCCCAGGCTGGAGTGCAACAGTGCAATTCTAGCTCACTGCAGCCTCAAACTCCTGGGCTCAAGAGATCCTCTCACCTCCGCCTCCTGTGTGGCTGGGACTGCAGGTGTGCACCACAATGCCTGGCTACGTTTTTTTAATCTGATTTTAAATCTACGAAAATGTATGTGAAAGTGTGGACAGCACAAGACTCACTCCCTTTTTTATATCTTACATATAAATAGGGCTGTTAGGGAATCCCCACTTCCACCCCCACCCCTTTATCACATAATTTGTTTAACGTTATGTTAAACTACTTAGAAGTCCGAGTTACTTCTATATTCTTGATAATGAAATGCAGAGTCTTCCTGTCTGTGCCAAGCATTTCTTTTTTACTCTCTGACAGAACTTTTGCAACATGGGTTACAGAAATAAGATCCTCCTTAGTTCAGCAGTGAGAGAGATACAGCTGTCAACAACTTCCCAGCAGGAAGATCAGCCTTGTAGGAGGTCAGATCAGATCTGTAGTAGAATGATCCAAGTCCTAATACCCTAGGACCAGGAAGGATGTCGATATTATACGACCTGGGCAGTCTGGCTCTCCACTGACTTCTGCCACCCCCATGGATTCTGGCCAGCAGTTCTCTCTTGTGCTTCCAACCACAGGCCCCACAGAACCTCTGCACCACAATGATGGTGAGTGATTGGCAGCTAGGAGTCTTCAGTGATGGAGTGAGACCTGAAGGGACCAGCTTGCTCAGAGAACTGTTGCTTCTGGCTCCTCGCGACTAATCACCAAGGATCCATTGGGCTTAAGCCAAAAGCAACAGACATGCTAAGTTTAATATTGAGCAATTACCTCTTTGATCAAGCAAGGTGTGTGAAATTGATGCATGCCAGTACGTGAGAAACTCATATAAGAATGCCTAAAGAAGCAACTTGGCCCACAAAACACTTACTTCATGTGCATGTGGTGTTTTTTGCTTAAAAACTAGATATGACTTGAATTGAACCAGTGGTGTTCAACATACGATATCTGTTTATCTGTGTATCCATCTACCTAGATAGATAGATGGATAGATATTTCAAACAGTGGGAAAACATTCTTCAAGAAACAGAGATGCTACCTTCCCAAACAGTTATATTATTTATTTTCAAAAAGTATCATCTAATATTAATTATTTACAAAGCTACTTGATACTTTAGCAAATGTACCCTAGTGTGTTTTGTTCAGCTAATAATCTTAGTGAAAAGAAACTGTTCTTTTCAATCCTTAGATATTAAACCTTTGCCATGAATCAGACTAAGACTGCTGAGATTTTTATGAGAATCATTTGGTTTACGTGGTGGTGAAATGAGACCTAGCAGGGTACTACTGAAAGTTTTATATTTATAAATCTATACATAGAGAGATTAAGTGTGTGTTCTTTGTTCTTTCTTTGGTGGAAAAAATGACTTTAGTGAAAACTCATCAAAATTTGAAATAATGTTTTAAAAATCTAAGAATCATAATTTTTTTTTTTGCCTTAACTCAACATTCTCAGATTCTGCCATGCTTTTCTTTCAGACGATTGCCACATCAATCTTTTCTACCCCATTGAGCCCATTTCTTGGGAGTGTCATTTTCATCACATCATATGTCAGGCCAGTGAAATTCTGGGAGAAAAACTACAAGTAAGATCCTAAAATCAGTGCTCAATTGCTTTTCTCCAGTTTGCACTTCAGAAGGCTCCTCTGCCTTCCTCTGTTAGGAGGTCCCTGGCTCCAGGCTTCCCCCTGCTGTGGGGCCAGGCCAAACCTGTCTCTCTTGATGACCTCCTCAGTTCATTGACTCAGCTCTTGGGTCTCAGGGATCTGGAAAGAACATGACTGATTTCAAATTAGCCAACGAATACTAGTCCAGGTTTCACCAGTTGTGAAGGAAAAGTGAGTTATCACTGCCAAATTTTCGTAGGTGACCTAGGGGAAGGTACAAGCCACTGTTAATGTCCTTTGATATGCCAAGATGGCCCCTGGATGGCATACTTTTTTCCTGTCTGTAGCATCCCTTCTGTGAGCATTCTAAATATACAGTCCTGTACAAGTGGGTAGCCATCACAGCTCTATGGAAAAGAGACCACCAACTTTTCTGAGTGCCATAAAACTTGCGGCATAAAAGTGAAGATGATTTCTTCACCTTTTCTTCACTATTTGGACCTGTCATAAATTTCCTTAAGCAATTGGTGATTGATGAAGTAGGAGTGTTATTCTTACGGGAAGGTGAGAAGAGAGAAGTAATGGTTCACCAAATAACCGTAAAGACCTCTTAATGATTTGTGGGGAAGGTCTTGAGAATAGCTAGCAGGGAAGGAAAGCATGTGTACCTGGAGGTCTTCAGCTGGGACAGAGACCTTTGCATTGCTCCATGTGTTGGCTTCAGCTGGGACAGAGACCTTTGCATTGCTCCATGTGTTGGGGCAGGTCTTCCATTTCAATCTCCTCTGCCCTAATTTATTAGCCATACTTGTGCTATTTATTACTTTTAAACCCTAATCCTTTTTTCCGTAATTTGTTTACATTTTGCAGAGTGCCAGCATTTTACAATGTGTCTTTTATGTCTCACAGAGGTCATCATTAAGTTAGACCTTTGGCTTCATGTGTCTCCCGAGAGATGGTTTATAAAATTTGCATCCTTCTGGCACAGGTGGTGTGGCTTAGGGATTAGAACACAGCCTGCCTGAGTTCACACCTCATCTCTCCCACTTAACACTGATAATTTCAGGCCTCCTTTTCCTCATCTGTAAAATGGAAGTAAAATCATAAGACCTACTTCATAGACTTGTGAGGAGAAAATGAATTAACATACATAAAACACGGAGAGCAGGGGCTGCCACAAAGTAAGCACCACGTGGGCCTGAGCTAGGATGATTATTCTCTGACTGCTCCGCAGGGAGGTTCCTGTCCCAGCTTGACCCATGCTAGTAGGTGTTTACCATGACTCGGGGGGATCTCCTTCAGACAATCTCACATTTAGGGGTGCCCTGGTGAAAACTAACCAAATCAGTGAGCCCTACTTCGGGCCCGTGAGGAGTTGAAGGAGGTCCTCAGGTTTCTGGCAGATTTCTTGTCTTCTAAGAGAGGTAGATTTTGCAATAAAAGTAAAGTTGTCTTGAAATTCACACATAACAAGGCTGCTCATTTGCATTTGTCTAAAGAGACATGCATATTTACAGAGCCAGAGAGTAAAAAAAAACTACCACAGTTGGCTTCTCTTTAAGCTTTTTTAGGAGAAAATAATTTGGGGGACCTTTTTGGAGCTCTGAAAGTCATGCTTCTGGAAAGTGCAAATACTTGTAAATAAGAGGAGGGGCATTTTCTCATGCTTTCACCTAAACAGGAAAGGAAAGTACAACATACTTAAAACTTGGTCCTCAGTACAAAAGATTTCTTTTTGCCTCCTATTCTCAGATAGGGAATCCGTCTTTCTGGCATGGGAAGATTCAATAGAAGTAAAACACCTCTCAGTTGAGTCAGAAAGGATTTTAAGTGTCCGCAGTGGAAAGGGGAATCTTTTTGCAGAGATGACATTGGAGGGAGGCATACTAACACCTGCGCAAAAGGAGTTAGGTGTTTTGTTATTTAGTCTCCTCACTTCCAAAATTCAGCCATCTTTGAGTGAGATGTTTGGGTCTGAATTGTCAGTTTATGTGGGTTACTTAAACATACGGACTTCTAGAGCAAGATTTATGTTTATTCAGTCCCACAAAGAAGTGATTCTGCCGCATTTATTCTTTTCATCAGTAAATAACACAGATATTAGCACTAGGTTCCCTGTATGTGTGTGTGGGGTGTCTGCCTCTGGCTGCCCTTCTCATGGGTTGGAAGAGGGCTTCAGGGTCTGTGGGTATGTACAAGGAAACCTGCCCTTTCCTAGGTCTTTCCAAAGGAGCCAAGTGGAAGGAAATTTTCAATTCTGCTGCAGGAGAGAGTTCTTGGTGCAAAACCCAGTCTGCTGAAGGTCTATTGTTGCCTTTTGTGAAGGCATCAGAACGCAGCGTCCTCTGGCCCATCTGCTGAAAAGATCAGTCGAGGGAAATCACAACAGTAGAGTGGTGGGTACCAGGAAAGGAAGTGACAGGAAATCTCATCTGGTCCTTACAAACACTCTGGAAAGCTCATTCTATCTATTTAAAACTTTTTTTTAGTTTCAAATCCTCATTAATGAGTTTTAGTGTTCTGACTGCAGAGTTTCTATGTGGCCGTTCTAATTACCGTCTTTTGAGTCTGATACAAAGGACCAGTCAGTTAACGTCATTTATCCTGTTTAATTTTGTACTAGTTGTTCCATCACTTTAAAAGGGCCGCCTGAAAAGACATTCTCGTCTGGAGCTTTAGTGAGCACATTTACCACCATGAACTGCCGCCACCAGGCTGGGGGTGTGTGTTGGAGGCCACCTAGCAGTCCCCTCTCCTGGCTTCCTCTTTCTTTTCACCTCTGCTCCCTCACTTTCCAGTCCCTTGGTTTTTATTGCAGATCTTTTAAAGCTGACTTTTGTTTGTGCAGGTCTCTAATGAGAGCTGCAGTGTAACAAAACCATTTTAATACTTCAAGGAAGTGATAAATAAATCACCAGTGACCTGATAATCACGGCTAGTCCCTTTTCTCCCTGAACTGGCCGGTCCTGAAACCTGCAGACCTCCTGTTCCCTGATTCTGTGCCTCACTAGGGCATATGACAAATGTGTCCCCTGTCTGCCTTTTTACCCTAGCCTCCTAACTAACCTGCTTGCTACTCTCTGCCCACACATAGCTCTAGGATAGCTGTCCTAAAACACAGCTCTCAGCTTGTCACTCTTCTCCTCAAAAGCCTGCAGTGGCTCATTGTGCCTGAGGAAAACGGAGAAATGCCATGTAGACCAGCACTGTCCAATAGGAAGTTCTGGATAATGGAAATGTTCTATGTCTGTGCTCTCCAATATGGCAGGTACCAGCCACATAGGGCTACCAAGCACTTGAAATGGGGCTAGTCTGATGGAGGAACTGAATTTTATTTTATTTTTATTTTATTATTATTATTATTATTTTGAGATGGAGTCTTGCTCTATTGCCCAGGCTGGAGTGCAGTGGCACGATCTCCACTCACTGCAAGCTCCGCCTCCCAGGTTCACGCCATTCTCCTGCCTCAGCCTCCCGAGTAGCTGGGACTATAGGTGCCCGCCACCACGCCTGACTAATTTTTTTTTCTTTTTTTTTTGTATTTTTAGTAGAGACGGGGTTTCACCGTGTTAGCCAGGATGGTCTCGATCTCCTGACCTTGTGATCCACTCGCCTTGGCCTCCCAAAGTGCTGGGATTACAGGCGTGAGCCACTGCACCCGGCTGGAACTGAATTTTAAATTCCATTTACTTTTAATCCACTTAAATTTAAATAGCCACCTGTGATGGGAGGCTACCATATTGGAAAGCACAGATATAGACCCTTCTTTCTCGAACTTTCTAGCCCATCTCCCACAACACTTTCCCACACATCATATACTGTGAATTTCCATTCCGAACCTCTCCTTGGATCTTACTCTTCATATAGAATGACCTTCCCTCCCTCAACCTCTTCATTTCCTGTCCACACCTAGTTGGCAAAGCCCAACTTAAATGGCAACTCTGCCATGAAGTTGTCCTGATCACCCCAATTAAAAATTATCTTTCCTTTCCTAAATTCCTCTAACAGTTTGCCTTTATGTTCTTGTTGTCTATTACTCAATAACAAATCTCTATAAACCTTAGTTTTTGTCTTAAAACAACAGGAAACAATTTATCATATCTCATGGCTTCTATGGGTCAGGAATTTGGGAAGGGCTGGGCTGAGTGGTTGTGATTTGGAGACCCTTATAAAGGTGGTGACTGGGACTGAAATAGGGAATCGGAACTGCTGGGGACTAACTGGACATCTTTCTCTCTTTTCGTGTAGCCTCAGAACCTCTCTGTGTAATCTCTAGGTGAGTCAGAATTTTGGCTTCCTGAGAGCATGGTGGCCTCAGGGCTTCAGCAAAAGTTTTCTAGTGAGTAAGGTATTAATAAAAGTTACATTGATTTTTCTGGCCTAGCCTCAGAAGTTCTGCAGCATCGATTCTCTCCCATTCTATTTTCTACAAGTAAGTCACTCACCCACCCAGATTCAGAGAAAGGGGAATTATATTCTGCCTCTTGGTAGATATATGGTAAGATTCAAGGGTGGTTTGTAGGATGGAGAGGTACTGTAGCAGTCATGTTTGGAAAAATAAATTTGCTGCTATGGCCATCAGTAAATTCTACCCAAGGTTGGTGTAGTCTATATATACCTTCAATTCTGAACTTGTTTAGTTTTCATTTTTGTATGCCTAATGGGGCCCTGCAAAAAGCAGGTGTTCTGTACTTTTTTTTTTTTTTTTGAGACGGAGTCTCACTCTGTTCCCCAGGCTGGAGTGCAGTGGCACAATCTCAGCTCACTGCAACCTCCACCCCCGAGTTCAAGTGATTCTTCTACCTCAGCCTCCCGAGTAGCTGGGATTACAGAGGCCCGCCACCACACCTGGATAATTTTTGTGTTTTTAGTAGAGATGGGGTTTCACCATGTTGTTCAGGCTAGTCTTGAATTCCTGATCTTGTGATCCGCCCTCCTCAGCCTCCCAAAGTGCTGAGATTACAGGCGTGAGCCACCACGCCTGGCCTGTAAATATTTCTTAAGTGAATTAAGTCTAACAGTATTATGTCAGAGGAAATAGAAATCCTAATCTGGCTTCACGTTTGCTGGGGTGAGAACACTCACTGCTAGACTGAGGTGGTCTTGACTAACAAGGTCTTTAAAAATCTGTCTTGATGAGCTCTGCCTGGTGTCTTTATTTTAATTCCAGGCAACAATAGCAAATGCAGTGTATAATAGTGCTTTGTGTTTATACATCCCCGTAATGTCAGAGCATTTTAGAAAGCTTTAGAAATACATTCTGATATTATGATTTATCATCCTGCTCTTTGTATATAAACAGTCACTAAATAACCAAACTTTGTCATTAACATGAAACAAATGTTTAGGCCAGAAATTACATGATACATGTGCCCAGTTATCTCAGCAAACATCTTTGTTCTAAAGGAGTTGACTATTTTCAGCTTTCTAAAATAATGAAAACTCCCATTAACAGAGATTTTGTTTTGATATGTCAGAAACCCTCTATAAAATGTAAAATACATTAGACCTACAGCGCTAGATGAAAGGGAAATAAAGCTTTCATGATGGTTACATATCTAGAATTCTATCCAGATTGGTTTTAAAATGTTACATTGTTCTGGGTGCTATCCTTTATGGCAAATGTGTATTAAGCATCATCTATGCGAGTGTACTGTGCTAGGCTTTACCTAGCAGGAATCACTCTGTGTGACTGGTCTGCAAAAGTATCAACTCTGCATCTGTATCCTTGGACCTGCCTTTCTCAGCAAGAAATAATTGGTTCTACTTAATCCTCATCTCTTACTGAGGCAGCGGTAGAACATCAGAAAGCACAGGCTTTGTGCTTTGTGGTTGGTCAAACCACAATTAAAATCCCAGCACATACGCTCGGTTAGGTGTTTGGGACGTTACTTTGTCTGTGAGCCTCAGTTAACTCATCTGTAAAATGAGATGATCACTCCTCAGAAGTCATACGCACCAAAAGAGACATGGTTTGCTGTGGTAAATGTGTAAGTCATTTCTATGTACAACATACCTTATCCTTATTCCTGACCCCATTTCATTTTCCTTTCCTAAATTTCTATCTTTTCTTATTCAGCTTTTAATCTAGTTGTAACTAAACATATATTATGTATCCCTGCAATCTACCTGAAGTCCTTTCTGAAACCGCAGAAGGCCATCAAATCAACAGGGGAAATGACACATCATATAGATCGTGTACCATCACATCCATAGCCAGCCTGCTGTGAGGTGCCCTATAAATATTATTTTTCCCTTCAGGCACCGTGTTTATTTTGATACCTGGGCCAGTCACTGAGCTCCAGTTCTGTTCTTCGAGCATCACAGCTGCCTTTATGGAATAATAGGCTCTCTAAGTCCCACGGTTTTATGGTTTATCTAACAACAAAATAAATGATAAAAATATTGTAACTAGTCTTAGTGAGCTCTCGTGAATCTCACTGTGTTGTTTTCCAGCGCCTTGTTGGTTTGTAATATAGACATAAGTATAGCACGGACCCTTAGGAATTACGGTAGCCCCTCTGTGCTCTGGACCATCCAGCCTCTTCTCGCTGCTGGTGGAGCGGATCTTGTGCCTTGCTCGGCAGCCCCTGTGAGTGCTGTTACAGCTGTGAGCTCTTCATTGAGTTGAATCGGCTCCTTGTGATATCACCTGGATACCCCTGCTGACACAGCATCAAGACGCTGAGTCCTACACCTGCTGCTCTTTACCAGTTTGGAGGCAGCTCTCCTTCCTTTGCCACCCTCTTTTTCAGGCCAAATGGTACAAACTGTTCCTTGTGTGAAATGGTCTAGACCTTGGAAATCCTAGTCGGCCTCATCTAGATGTTCAGTGGATTGCCCCTAACCCTCCCCACCTTCACCTTGCTCCAGAGGTCATCTAATTGGTTCTCAGTAGAAGGACCTATTCTGCAAATCAGGTGTCCTGCTATCATTCATGCCTCTTAAAATCTAAAATGTCTCATTATTTTACAAAATATTTGCTGAGCTGACCCTTCTTCATCCTGATCTTATGCGTGAGTGTGGTTTACTGAAAAGAGGAAGTTTACGTTTCCGCTCTCAACTCTCCTCTTACTGGTTTTAACTCAATATTCCAGCCCATAGAGGTCAGTTTCATTCATGTCATCTTTCACGCCTCCAGCCCCCTCAGTTTGGCAGCAGATGGGATTACCTGTCACCATCTGGAGTTTCATTCATGATTTGTATTAACAAATACCTGGCTTGATCAGGCAATCAAAGAAAGAAGTTCTCAACTTCACAGTTTATTTTTTAACTTTTTCCAAATGAATATTGCTGAATGCTTCCTACCCACTAAGCTGTTTTAAGGGTGACTTGTAAGATCTTTGCAAAGCATTGAGCTTCTCAAAAGGCAATTTTTTTTCTTAAGTACAAAGCAGGCCGCTTATTCTGGCTTATGGGTTAATAGTACAATGCAATTAAAAGCTGCCCTTCCTTTAAAGTTATGCCAGGGAGGGATTTACATATATTGACTTGCAGTTAAGTTACCCCATAATTTATTTGGATACGTTTGCAAGGTGCCTGGATATGCCATGACAAGGAACGCAACACATTTTTATTTGTTCGATGCCCTTGTTTTAGTTACTGCTGAGATAAATGTCATGAATCTCCTTTATCAGGAATCCGAAGTCTATTAGAGCTTTCAGACCCATACTTAGGTTGTACGTTGGGCCCTGGATCTATTATTCTTAATGGTAATAATAACAGTAGTGGGAGTGGAGCAGCAGTAGTAGCAGTAACAATGGCGATCCTCATCTTCTTGTATTTATTGAACATCTGCTCATCTTCTCTAATATATTCATTCCAGTCCTAACATTCACTCTGGAAGTAGACTTTCATTTTTCTTATTTGACAGATCAGAAAAAAGAAACTCAAGGAAGTTAAAGAACTTGCCCAAGGTCACAGAACAAGTGAGCAGCTGAGCCACGATATTAACCCAGGGCTGATCTTATTCCAAGCCCAGAACATGCTTCCTGTTATATCCTGAAGCCTCTCAGAGGACACACACACACACACACACACACACAAACACACACAGAATGCCAGTTAATGCATTTGCCCATGAGAGCCTTAAAAGGAAGGCACCATCACAAGAGCCCTGTGTGGCCAGAGAGGCCTGTCTGGAAAGGAAAGCAGCTGCAGCTCAGAGCCCCGAGGCATTTGCTCAGAGTAGGACAGGTCAGAGAGGCCTGTCTGGAAAGGAAAGCAGCTGCAGCTCAGAGCCCTGAGGCATTTGCTCAGAGTAGGACAGGTCAGAACCACTGCAGGTCAGAAGCAATGCAGCTTGCCAAGACCACCCTTAGAATCATTAGGCTGAGCTTTGAGTTTTCATACTCATCACTGGACCACAAAACATTTATAGCTCAAAAGAATGGAGTCCCTGTCTTCAGGCTGCAAGAAAGCGTGGTGAGTGGCCACTTTGCAAGTCATCAGCTTGCATGTTTGTCTTTTCCTTTTCCTGAAGAGAGGCTTCCTGATGCTTCTCCATGGCCCCGGCCTGGTTCTTACAGCTCCAGACGCTAAGCAGGGATGCATAAGAACAGGAATGAAGCCTCGATGATCCTCATGGACAACAAGTGACCATCCGAGGTTCTGAATACAGTCTCAGGCCCAGAAAGGGGGTTGAGCTAATTAATACAGATGCAACTTTTTATTTATTTTTATTTTTTTATTTTTGAGATGGAGTCTCACTTTACAGCCCAGGCTGGAGTGCAGTGGCGTGATCTCGGCTCACTACAACCTCCGCCTCCCAGGTTTGAGCAATTCTCTGCCTCAGCCTCCCAAATAGCTGGGATTACAGGCACCTGCCATCATGCCTGGCTAATTTTTGTATTTTTAATAGAGATGGGGTTTCATCATCTTGGCCAGGCTGGTCTTGAACTCCTGACCTCGTGATCCACCCGCCTCGGCCTCCAAAAGTGCTGGAATTACAGGCATGAGCCACCACACCCGGCCCAGATGTGGTAGCTTTTTAAATGGGTGATTTGAGAAATCCCTATTTGAGGCTATGACCTGCCCTTGATTTTCTAGGGTGTTAAATAACTTCACACATCTGGGAAAGGGATTTTCAAATGCTCTTATTTTAACTGGGAGCTAACAGGGAGTCTTCAGGAATCTTCCTCCCCAGGCAGAACTCAGAGTTGTCCAGATGGATACACAAATGAAAGTTTTGGGAAATATGAAAATGCATGAGATTCACTTTGAGGATTGCAGTGGACTGAATGTTTGGGTCCCTTCTCCCCCAGATTCATAGGTTGAAATGCTGACCCACAGTGCGATGGTATTAGGAGGTGGGGCCTTCAGGAGGTGATTAGGTCATAAGAGTGAAGCTCTTATGCATGGAATTAGTGCCCTCATAAAAGGGACCCCAGAGAGCTCTCTAGCCCCTTTTTCCTCCATGGGAGGATACAGTGAGAGTTTGGCATTCTGCAACCTGGAAGAGGCCCTTAATAGAACCTGAGCATGCTGACACCCTCATCTCGGACTTCCAGCCTCCAGAACTGGAGCAACATATTTCTGTTGTTTATAAGCCACCTGGTTTATGGTATTTTTTAAAGAGCAGCCTAAAGTGACTAAGACAAGATGCGTGCATGTGTGTGTGTGTGTGTGTGTGTGTGTGTTTGTGTGTGTGTGTGTATGGATGAAAATGACTTGTTTCAGCATTAACATGGTTTAGCTACTACAGGACCGTGTTTGGGGAGACAGCAGGTACTGGGATTGACAGGTATGGCCCAAGTAGGAATATGGACCAACTCTTGAACTTTCCAAAAGAAATAGAAATAAGGAGAAACCAGCCCCCCCAAAAAATCATAGTTATGTATGATAACATAGAAATGTCAAGATGGACTGAGGTACTGGAAAAGAGATCGAAGTTTGAAGTCAATAAATCTCACCCAACTGGCTGGGGACATATGGGACAAACCTGGGAACAGACAGCAGGGTAGTGCCTGCCTCCTATTTCATTTCACTCTGGGAAGACTTACATTAGGGCACAGGCAAGTGGGAAACAAACAAGTTCGTGAGACTATGGTCAAGAGGGCCAAAGCCAGAGAAAGAAAAGGTGTGAAGCCTGGTGTCCCAGAGGTATATTGTTCTTGACTAGCCAGAGTGAGTTCCGGGACTTTAGTGTTTGGGGACCAGCAGGGAAGGGAATTTCCTTCCTTCCCAGTGGACTTGGTGGTGTGGGGTGCAAGCCTATTGCTGTTAGCAGTCCTTTAGCACCACAAAGCAAGAACTGTCCTGAGGACACAGCGAACACAAAGGAAGGCTGGGCCGAGGGACACAGAGAATGATGACACTCCCCTATCCCCTGAGTCCACCGAGGCTTAAAAGGGCCTTTCAGCTTTGTGAGCCACTGAATTCTTTATTTCACTTAAGCCATTTTGAGTTGAGTTTTCTGTCACTTGAAATCAAAAGACTCCTAATAAAAGAAAGTAATGGCTTTTATCAAAGGAATCCTTCTCCCTTACCTTTTACTTTTTTTTTTTTTTTTTTGAGACGGAGTGTTGCACTGTCGCCCAGGCTGGAGTGTAATGGCATGATCTCGGCTCATTGCAACCTCCTCCTCCTCCCAGCTTCAAGTGATTCTCCCGCCTCAGCCTCCCAAGTAGTTGGGATTACAGGTGCCTGCCACCATGCCCTACTAATGTTTTGTATTTTTAGTAGAGACGGGGGTTTCACTACATTGGCCAGTCTGGTCTCAAACTCCTGACCTCGTGATCTGCTCGCCTCGGCCTCCCAAAGTGCTGGAATTACAGGTGTAAGCCACCACACCCGGCCACCTTTTAGTTTTAGAGAGTGATGGCGCAAAAGCATACCTTTATTGCCATAATTCTGTGTCACTAAGTAGCCTAGAATGCCAGAGAAGGTGCTGGCATCCATCCCCTATTGTACCTCCAGGGCTGAGTGGCAGACAAAAGAGCTTTAAGCTCCCCTTGCCCAATCACCAAGGTGCCCTGTGACTTAGGCTGGTCCTTCCACTTCCCTTCTCTGCCTCAGATTTCCTCACCTAGAATTTGTGTCTGAATGCTGTTACTTCTGAGAAGCCAAATTATGAACTTGACCCCATCCCACTGTTTTGCTGACGGATGAAGAAACTCTTGCATGTAAGGTTTGACACGTGAGGTATGGAAATGAACTATTATACACATATATTCCAGAAAACTGATGCTTTTGAGGAAGTCCAGTATGTTGAATTTCTCAAACAGCATTGCTTTGAGCTTATTATGCATTGTGCTGTTGTGCATAATTTTACTCAGGGTCCTGTTAGTTTTTGCTGAGCAGTTAAAGTATTTGAAAAGTGCAGAATAGTGTAGCCGACCATGCGACTGCAGGGAAGCGTTGAACGTGCCAGCTGCTTCCCAGCTGTCTGCTGCTGCTGATGCTTCAAGGTCACCCAGGAGCGAGGCTTTGTGAGTGATTCAGGTAGATGGATGGTCGCAGGGAGTGTAAGCCTTGTACAGCAGGAGGGCAGAACCCTGTTCTAAATCACTATAGCAAGTGAGAGGAGGATCCTTAGTTTGTCCAGCTTTTAGGAAAGTGTTAGAGATGGAACTGATTTATTCTAAACAAAGAAAGGCAGGACATATGCAGCTTTTAAATTTACATTGTCTTAAACTGTTTTACTACGTGGCTCAAATAAATATGATGCAGGAGATTTCTTAGGCAGATTTGAAACATCTGGACAGTGAGGGTTTAATCCCCAAGGCCAAGAATCCTGAGCATTTCTAATTAAAACGTCTTCCCTGAGATCGGCCAATACTCCAAGTGACTGTCACAGGACACTCCACGGTGTGTTCTCATTCTTTGTTATAACAGCAGACCACTGTAGGTACTGGGAGGCTTTTGCATTTGAGGCTCTGTGAGACTCATTCTGTAGGATTCTGATAGCCATGTGCTTGTTTAATCTTGTGACTCTGAGCATGTTTCTAAGACTGACTCTAATCCTACTTTATTGAAAGCAAAGACCTTGCCCAGGCCTTACATAGAGTTGCTGCTTCTTGGTACACAGTGCTCTTGATTCATGAGTGGAATTAATATATAATGTGAATATACAAAACCATTCTCTAATTTTTCTTGTCACTTTGGAAGCATTCTGTCATCATCTCCACTCCATAGGGCTTATAATGCTCTTTCACCTGTGGATTGCTGTGTTTGGCTCTCCCTGTAAACTAAATAGATGCTCCCTTTCATGATTTTTTAAATGAAAAGTGGCCAGTAAAGTCAAAATAATTATATACATGAGAATTAGAAAAAAATTACCCAGTAAAAATAAGGGCAATTTAATATTTATATTTCTTTTTATATTTTGTAATATCTTAGTAGGGTGCTTTCTAAATTGATTATTATTGGCTTTAGAGGTTGCGTAGTTGGAGCTTATTTGCCTGTAGTCAGGGAAGACTTTGTGAGAGAGGCATAGGACAGACTTGGGAGAAAGGAAGGAAAGAGAGATCTTAGTAGATGTTAAAGAAAATTGTTTGGGTAGGAAAAGTTTCAAAAAGCCTAATTTTAGGAGTAGTGCAGAATAGTAGAGCACTCACTTGATAGTTAACGTTATCACTGGTAAACAGGAGCCACTGGGGAAGGCTTCTGAGGGTGTTTTTCCCTGTTTTCCAAGAGGCTGTTTTAGGAAAACACCGGTGAGGGTTGAGGAGAGATGAGTGAACTCATTTTCTGTCAAATTTTGTCCCTGTGCTCCTGGAGTCAAGATTTGACACAATCTTAGTATTTGAAAAATCTAATTTAAAAACAAATGTAAAATATTGTCAGAATGAAAAATACTATTCCTTCCCCCCACCAAAATAAAATCTATACCCAGATGTACTGATGCAGTGACATAGAACTATTTCCTATTCATTCTTTGTCACTTATCCTTCCCTTGGGTGACTGGTCTGTTACAAGGCTAAAGTGACTACCTGTTTAGTTTTGCAGTAGGCAGTCATAGATGTGGCTCTGTGTTTTAATTTCCTACCAAAAGCCCTATGCTATGTTTATTTGCTATTTTAGACATTCAGAAAACTAGGGGTCAGAATAATGAGGTGATCCTCCTTTACACCCCTCAAATAATTTAATAAATCATAAATCAAATGAAAAACCAGAAATCATGTTTGTTGACTTACAGCTGCAGACTTGTTCTTGGGCACTCCCCTTCCCCTCACCTTGTCATTAGTGCAGTGTTTCCAAGCCAAATTATTTTACATGGGGTACCATATCATAAAAATGCAAACATGAGATGTCAAACTTGCATATAATAAATTTCTTCATTTATAAGTTTAGTCAAGGTGTAAATGATTTGACAAGGTGTCTCAAGATGATTGTAGAATAAGAAGTGTAATTTTAGTTGGATTTGATTTGGTAATAGATTTTAAGATTTAAAGTGAGCGAAGTACAGTGTTACACTTTTAGGAGTGAAGGAAATAGCAAAGGAAAAGTGAGGTCCGTCTGAGCAAGAAACGTTGCTGTGTGATTTTATTAACGCCAAATCCCTCAACTAGAAAACTGCACCGGGTATAATGGGCATTGTGTTCAGAGAATGTGTCTTCTCAAGTTGCTGCCTCTCCCGAGACAAGTGGCTACAAAAACTGAAGGTCCTGACTTAACTCATCACAGCTGAGTGTGTCACTGCACAAATTACTGCAGTTCCATTGCTAAAGATCATAGTTTCTTTTTGCTATATGGGGAAATGCATGTCAAAAGCCCGGTTCATCTTGATCCAAATCCTGTATACACCACAGGTAACTTATGAATGAAATAAACATGTCTTCATCCCCAGGAGAAGTTTCACTCACAACTCTAAATAAAACACTCAAATAAATGGCATTGGACCTCCCCTTTTACCAGAAGAATGTAACAGCCAGAAGTCGAAACCTTAAATCAGTCAAATTAAACTTGGGGGAAAACTCAGCAGTACTCTGATAATTTAATCTTTATGAATCACTTAAAACTGTCTGCCTCTTCATTTATTCAATTTCCCAGTTGGCTGACTTTTTGCCCAACAGCAAGCAACTTGGATTTTTTATTACTATTTTTATTAGTTGCATTTGCAGAAAGAGAAGAAACACTTTTCACCCCCTAAATATTTATGACTTTCCACTGAATGAATAGTTGAAGTTCATATTCTGTATTTAAAATATTGAGTAGTCTTGGATTTTTCTTGCTGAAATGGAAGAAATAATACTAATTTAAGGTGTAAGCACGTTAGAATCAGAGATACAAATTGTAGATGAATGCATGGTAGTCACTATGTTCAGGCCTGCTATTTGCAATGGAGATTTCTTTTCTGTTGTGTGTGTGTGTGTGTGTGTGTGTGTGTGTGTGTGTGTGTGTTTTAAGCTAACTGCAGATTCAAATGCAGTTGAATGAAACAATAGAGACAGAGCCCATGTATTCTTTACCAGTTTCCCCCAGGGATAACATTTTGCAAAACTATCACAACCTAGATATTGATGTTGATACATTCAAGATACAGAAGATTTCTATCCAAGCTTCAAATTAGTGACACGTAACAAACAAACAAACAAATACAAAAAACCAGAAGATTTCCATCACCACAGAGACCTCTCCTGTTGGAGAGCACACATACTTCCTTCCTGTCCCCATCCCTTCATAACTCCTGTCAACCTCTAATCTGTTCTCCATCTTTATAATTTTGTCATTCCAAGAATGTTATATAAATGGAATCCTACACTGTTTAACCTTTTGGGATTGCCTATTTTCACACAACATAATTCAGTGGAGATTCATCCAAGTTGTATGTGTCATTAGTTTATTTTATTATATTGCTGAGTAGTTCCGTGGTATGGATGTGTCAGAGTCTAATAAGTCATCCATTGAAGGACTTCTGGGTTGTTTCCAGTTTGGAGCTATTATGAATAAAGCTTCTTTGGACACTTGTTTATAGGTTTTTATGTGAACATAAATCTTCACTTCTCTGAGATAATTTCCAAGAATGCCATTGCTGTCTCATAATGTAGTATTTTTTTTAGTTTTCTTTTTCTTTTTTAAAGAAGCTGTAAAACTCTTTCAGAGGGGCTATACCACTTTACATCTCCACCAACAATGTATGAGAGATCAAGTTTCTTCATATCTTTGGCAGTATTTTCATGTTTTCACTATTTTTTATTGTAGCCATTCTGAGGGGTATACAGTGATAGCTCATTGGGTTTACTTTGCATTTCCTTAATGGCAAATGATTTTGATTATCTTTTCTTGAGCATATTTGCCATCTCTATAGTCTCTTCAGTGAAATGTTTATTCATGTCTTTTGCTCATTTTCTAATTGGACTTTTTTTCTACTGTTGAATTTTGAGAATTTCTTACCTATTTCAGATAGTTGTACTCTCTTAGATATATGTTTTGCAAATATTTCATTCCAGTCTGTAGCTTGTCTTTTCGTCCTCTTTTTTTTTTTTTTTTTTTTTTTTTTTTTGAGACGGAGTCTCGCTCTGTCGCCCAGGCTGGAGTGCAGTGGCGGGATCTCGGCTCACTGCAAGCTCCGCCTCCCGGGTTCACGCCATTCTCCTGCCTCAGCCTCCCAAGTAGCTGGGACTACAGGCGCCCGCCACTACGCCCAGCTAATTTTTTTGTATTTTTAGTAGAGACGGGGTTTCACCGTTTTAGCCGGGATGGTCTCGATCTCCTGACCTCGTGATCTGCCCGCCTCGGCCTCCCAAAGTGCTGGGATTACAGGCGTGAGCCACCGCGCCCGGCCTCGTCCTCTTAACAAAATGTTTTGCAAAGCAAAAGTTTTTTAGGTACACATTCTTTTCAAGCGTACATAAACTATTCTCCACAATGGACCATCTACTAGACCATAGAACAATCCTCGATAAGTTTTTAAAAACTGAAATTATACAAAGAATGTTCTCCGGCCACAATAGAATAAAATAGAAAATTAATAGCAAGAGCAAATTTGGAAATTTTCCAAATATATATAAATTAAAACACACAACCAATGGTTCTAAGAAGAAATCTCAAAGAAAATTAAAAACTACTTCAAGATGAATGAAAATAAAATATAATTTATTAAAACTTATGGAAGGTAGGAAAAGCAGTTCTCAGAGGAAAATTCATAGCTGTAAATGCCTAGATCTTTAAAATAAGGCCAGACATGGTGGTGTTCATGCCTATAACTGCAGCACTTTGGGAGACCAAGACAGAATGATCACTCGAGGTCAAAAGTTTAATACCACCAGCCTGGGCAACATAGTGATAGATGGGTCTCTTCAAAAAATTTTTTTTAAATTAGTTGGATATGGTGGTGCACACCTGTAGTTTTAGCTACTGAAGAGGCTGAGGTTAGAGGATTGCTTGAGCCTAGAAGTTAGAGACTTCAGTGAGCTATGATCACACCACTGCACTCTAGCTTGGGTGACAGGGGCAAGACCCTGCCTCTAAAAATAATAATAATAATAATAAGAAAGATATTACCAGGTATGGTGGCCTGTGCCTGTAATCCTAGCTACTCAGAGGCTGAGGCAGGAGGATTGCTTGAGGTCAGGAATTCATGACCAGCCTGGGCAACATAGTGAGACCTCTTCTCAAAAAAAATTTTTTAAAGATCTCAAATAAATCACCTAAAGAACTAGAAAAAGAAGAGTGTACAAAATCCAAAGCAAGCAGACAGAATGATTAGACTAGGGATCAATGAAAATGAAGAGTAGAAAAATGACAGAATAAATAAAATCAAAAGTTTGTTTTTTGAAAACATAAATTGACAAACCTTTAGCTAGAATGGCCAAGTTAAAAACAAGACTCAACGTACTATAATTGCTAATAAAAGTGAGGACATTATTACTAGCCTTACATAATTAAAAGGAACTATAAGAGAATTCTACGACCCCTTGTATTTCAACAAATTAGGTAACCTAGATGAAATGGAGAAATTCCTAAAGACATACAAACTACCAAAGCTGACTGAAGAATAAACAGAACATCTAAATAGACTATATAACAAGTATAATAAAAAGAATTAATCAGTAATTTTTTAAAAAACTCCCTACAAAGAAAAAGCCCAGGACCAGTTGACTTCACTGATGAATTGTATAAAATGTTGAAAGAAGAATTAACACCAATTATTCTCAAATCTTTCAAAATATACTGAAGAAAGGAACGATTCCTAACTCATTCTGTGGGGCCAGTATCATCCTGACACCAAAGCCAGAGAGTGTCATCATGAGAGAAGAAAAATTCAGACCAATTTTTCTTATGAATGTAGATGCAGAAATCCTCAAAAAATACTATCAAACCAAATTCAACACCTTATTAGGATTATACACTGTGACCAGATGAGAATGCTAGGGTGGTTTAACACATAACAATCAATTAATATGATAGATTATATTAATAGTATGGGAGAAAACCACACTTGACCATTTCAATTGATCCAGAAAAATCATTTTGCAAAATACAACACTACGTTGTGATAAAAAACATTAAACAAACTAGGATAAAAGAATGTCCTCAATCTGATAAGCCTAAATGCCCATCAGTGATAGACTACAGTAACTAAAACAGTATAGTACAGGTACAAAAACAGACACATAGACCAATGGAACAGAATAGAAAACCCAGAAATAAGGCCACACACCTACAACCTGACAAAAACAAGCAATGAGGGACAGATTCCCTGTTCAATAAATGGTGCTGGCATAACTGGCTAGCCATATGCAGAAATTGAAACTGGACCCCTTCCTTACACCATATGCAAATATTAACTCAAGTTGAATTAAAGACTTAAACGTAAAACCCAAAACTATAAAAACCCTGGAAGACAACCTAGGCAATACCATTTTGATATAGGAACAGACAAAGATTTCATGATGAAGACATCAAAAGCAATTGCAACAAAAGCAAAAATTGACAAATGGAATCTAACTAAACTGAAGAGTTTCTGCACAGCAAAAGAAACTATCCACAGAGTAAACAGACAACCTACAGAATGGAAGAAAATTTTTACAAACTATGCATCTGACAAAGGTCTAATATCCAGCATCTATAAGGAACTGAAACAAATTTACAAGAGAAAAACAACCCCATTAAAAAGTGGGCAAAGGACATGAACAGACACTTTTCAAAAGAATACATACATGCAGCCAAGCGTATGATAAAAGAAATGCTCAGCATCATCAATTATTAGAGAAATGCAAATCAAAACCACAGTGAAGTACCATCTCACACTAGTCAGAATGGCTATTACTAAAAAGTCAAAGAATAACAGATGCTGGGAAGTTGCAGAGAAAAAGGAATGCTTATACACTGTTGGTGGAAGTGTAAATTAGTTCAACCATATGGAAATCAGTGTGGCAATTCTTCAAAGACCTAAAAACAGAAATACCATTGGACACAGCAGTTCCATTACTGAGTATATACCCAAAGGAATATAAATCGCTCTGTCCTAAAGACACATGCATGTGTATGTTCATTGCAGCACTATTCACAGTAGCAAAGACATGGATACCATCAGTGTTGGGCTGGATAAAGAAAATGTGGTACATATACACCATGGAATACTATGAAGCCATAAAAAGAATGAAATCATATCCTTTGCAGAAACATGGATGGAGCTGGAAACCATTATCCTCAGCAAACTAACACAGAAGCAGAAAACCAAATACCTCATATTCTCACTTATAAGTGGGAGGCAAATGATGAGACCACATGGACACGGGAAAAACGCACACTGGGACCTATCAGAGGGTGGAGGGTAAGAAGAGGGAGAGGATCAGGAAAAATAGCTAATGGGTACTAGGCTTAATACCTGGATGATGATATAATCTATACAACAAGCCCTCATGACACAAGTTTACCTATATGACAAGTCTGCGTATGTACCCCTGAACTTAAAAGATAAAAAATAAAGAGATTAAGAGCAGCTAAAGTGGACATCCTTGCAGCTTTCCCAATCTTATGGGGAAGTAATTCAATTTTTCACCATTAAGTACAGTGTTGCTGTAGGTTTTCATTTTATTTTTTTATTTTTATTTTTTGTGACGGAGTCTTGCTCTGTCGCCCAGGCTGGAGTGCAGTGGCATGATCTCGGCTCACTGCAAGCTCCGCCTCCCGGGTTCACCCATTCTCCTGCCTCAGCCTCCCCAGTAGCTGGGATTACAGGCGCCCGCCACCAAACCTGGCTAATTTTTTTGTATTTTTAGTAGAGATGGGGTTTCACCGTGTTAGCCAGGATGGTCTCGATCTCCAGACCTCGTGATCTGCCCACCTCGGCCTCCCAAAGTGCTGGGATTACAGGCATGAGCCACTGTGCCTGGCCAGCTGTAGGTTTTTATAGATGATCTTTATCAAGTGAGGAAATTTGCATCTAATTCTATTTTTCTGAGAGTTTTTTTTTTTAAATCATGAATAGTATTGGGTCTTGTCATTTGCTTTTTCTGTGTTTATCTACATGCATATGTGATTTTTCTTCTTTCCCATGTGAGTATGGTGGCTTATACTGACTGATTTCTGTGCATTGAACCAGTCTTGCATCCCTGGAATAAACCCACATTGTCATGGTATATAATTATTTTTATATATTGCTGAATTTTATTTGCAATATATTTTTAAGGATTTTTGGATTTATATTATTGGAAGATATTGATCTTTAATTTTATTTTTTTCATGCTGTTTTTGTCAGGTTTTTGTATCAGGGTAAATACTAGCTTCATGAAATAAATAGGAAAGTGTCTCTTCCTCCTATAATTTCTGAAAGATATTAAGTATAATTATTGTTTGTTATTTTTTAAACGTGGTAGAATTCTTCAGTGAAGCCTTCAGAGCTTAGAGATTCATTTTGGGGGGAGTTTCTAAGTTACTAATTAAATGGCGTTAATAGTTACAGGGCTTTTAAAATTATGTATTTCATAATGAGCAAGTTATGGCAATTAGTGGGTTTTTTTGAGGAACTGGTCCATTTCATCAAGGTTGTAAAATTCATGCATGTAAAATTATTTGTAATATTCCCTATTATCTTTTTGATACTGGCAGGGTCTGTAGTGTATACAGTTATTTGTAATTTGTGTTTTCTCTCCCCTTTTCTTTGTCAGTCTGGTTAGAGATTTTTCGATGTTATTGATTGATATTCTCAAAGAACCAGCTCTTTGGCTCTTTGATTTTCTCATTTATTTTTCAATTTCACTGATTTTTGCTCTTTATTTCATTTCTTATGCTTGCTTTGGGTTTTCTTTGCTCTTCTTTTTCTAGATTTTTTGGGTGGGACCATAGACTATGAATTTGATACCTTTTTAATGTGTATATTTAGTGGTGTGAATTTGTCTTTCAACACTTCTTTAGCTATGTTCGACAAATCTTGATATCTTTATTTCCATTTTCTTTCAGTTCAATGTATTTCTATTTCTTCTTTTTTCTTTTTTTTGTGTGTGTTTCCATTTCTATTGAAACTTTATCTTTGACCCATGGTTTATTTAGAATTGTGCTGTTCAGTTTCCAAATGTTTGGATATTTTCCTGTTTTCTTTGTGTTATGTATTTCTAGTTTAAGTCCATTATGGTTGGAGAACAAACTCTGTATGATTTCATTTTTTAAGAATTTGTGGAGATCATTTTATGTCCCAGAAAAATGGTCTATCTTGGTACACTCTCTGTGGCCACTATAAAAGAATGTGTAGTCTACCATTGTTGGGTGGAGTGTGCAGTAAATGTTGAATAGGTAATGATGGTTGATAGTGTTACTGAGTTCTTCTATATTATCGTTGATTTTCTGTCTGGCCTTCTTATCAGTTTGTTAAGACATGGGTGTTTAAGTCTCCATCTATAATTGTGGATTTGTCTGCTTTTTCAGTTCTATCAGGTTTGGGTTCACGTATGTTTCAGTTGAGTTGTTTGACTTATGCATATTTAGGACTGATGTGTTTTCTTTGTGGATCAACCGTCCTATCATACAATGTTCGTTTCTGTCTTTGGTAAACTTCTTTGTTACGGAGTCTACTTTATCTGATATTAACAGCCATTTTTGCTTTTCTTTGATTAATGTTTGCATAGTATATATTTTTCATTTTTTATTTTCAGTTGGGCTATGTTACTATATTTGAAGTAGTAACAATATTTGAATTTCTTGTAAGTAAGAATATTTGAATTTCTTGTAGGCAGCGTAGGTCATAGTTTTTCATCTACTTGCTAATTTGTTCTGGTGTATTTATGTTTGGTGTAATTATTGACATATTAGGGCTTATATCTGTTACTAATTTTTTGTTTTGTTTGCTCTGTTTGTAATTTTCATTTGTTTTTTCCTGATTCTTGTATGTTTCTTGAACATTTTTCAGAATTCTATTTTGATTTATTAAATAAATAATATATTTTTGAGTGTATCTTTTAGTGTTTGCTCTAGGTATTAGCATTATATATAAATAATTGTTCAAAATCTACTGGTACTGTCATTTTACCTGTTCAAATGAAGTGTAGAAGTCTTTTCATGTCCATTTAGCTTCCCCTGCTTGTACCATGATGTCATGAATATTTTCTGTATATACACTTAGAACTATATTGACAACTATATAATTTTTGATTCAGACATTAAGCATAATTTAGAAGACACATGAGGAGAAGGACGTCTATTGTATTTACCCATACTTTTGCTTACTGTGTTTTTTCTTCCTTCCTGATGTTTTAAGTTTCATTCTTTTCTTTCTTTCTCTTCTTTTCTTTTCTTAGAGGACATTATTTACCTATTATTTCAGGGTAGAACATCTGTTGACACATTCTCTTAGTTTTTCTTCCTTTGATACATTCTGTTAGTTTTTCTTCCTTTGAGAATGCCTTGGAATGAAATTTTCTTCATTCCAAAAGGATATCTTCACTGTATATAGGAATCTAGGCTGACAATTATTTTCTTTCAGCACTTAAAAACATATTGTGCTATTTCTTCCTGACCTCTATGGTTTCTAATAAGAAATCTGCAATAATTCAGAATTTTTCCTTTTTAGATAAGGTGTTTCTTTCTTGTTGCTTTCAAGAGCTTTTTTTTGTGTTTATATTTTAGAAGCTTGACTATAATGTGTTTTGGTGTGAATTTCTTCAACTTTACTTCCAACTTCTCTCCTTCTGGGACCCTGATTTTAGTTCTTTAATTACAGTCCCATGGGTTTTGGAGACTCTGTTCATTTTTTTTCTTCAGTCTGTTTTCTCTCTGTTGTTCAGATTGCAGACAGCAGTCTGTTGTTCTGTCTTCCAGTTCAATGATTCTTTTCTCTTCCCTTCATTCTGCTGTTGGGAACTTTATTTTTAAAATTTTAGTTATTGGTCAGGCACTGCAGCTCACACCTGTAATCCCAGCACTTTGGGAGGCCGAGGCCGGTGGATCACTTGAGCTCAGGAGTTCAAGACCAGTGTGGCCAACATGATGAAACCCCATCTCTATTAAAATACAAAAATTAGCTGGGTGTGGTGGCATGCACCTGTAGTCCCACTTACTTGGGAGGTTGAGGTGGGAGAATCACTTGAACCCTGGAGGTGAAGGTTGCAATGAGCTGAGATGGTGCCACTGCACTTCAGCCCGGATGACAGAGCAAGACTCTGTCTCAAAAAAAAAATTAGTTACTGTATTTTTCAGTTGTAAAATTATTATTTGATTCTTCTTTATTTATTCTATTTCTTTGCCAAGTCTTGCTTTTTTTTTTTTTTTTTTTTTTTTTTTTTTTTTTTTTTTGCTGAAGCTCTATTTTTTCATTTATTTCAAGTGATCTTAATTGCTCATTGAAACATTTTTATGGCGGCTAATTTAAAATATTTGTCAGATAATTTCATCATCTCAATTTTGGCATCTATTGTCTTTTAAAATTCATTTTGAGGTCTTCCTGTTTGTTTCTGATTGTAAGTACTTTTCTATTCAACTCTGGACATTTTGGGTGCTATTATGTATTATGAGCCTCTGGATAATATTTACACCTTTGTTTCAGCTAGCTGTTACTGACACCATTCTGGCAGGAGAAAAGGGGTTGCTGCTTTGTTACTTTCAGATGGGGTTAGAAGTCCAGGTTCCCTACTCAGCCTCTATTGACTCTTGAGATGGGAGAGGGTGGAAAGTTTCTTGTTATTGCTTGATAGGGGGTGGGAGTTCAGATTCCCCACTAAGCCTTTATTGATACTTTCCTGAATGGGAGGGATAGTGGTACCTCATTACTGCTCCCCATGTGGCCTCCTTACCCAGGAAAATTATGAAAGTCTGAACTCAGTCTCTTTTGGCACCATCTCAACAGGAGGGGAAGAGGCACCTCATTATTGCCTGGCAAGGGAGGAAGTCTAGGTTCCTCACTCAGTCTTTGCTGGTGACACAGGATTCTTTGGGAGGCCACTTCACCAGGCTCCACCCATTCAGCCCAGCAGGCCGTGCTTGGTTTGCGCTACTGGCCTGGATCCCATATCCTGGGTAAAATGGTGAAGGGTGTGTGTGCAAGTGGGTGTGAGGTCTGACCACAGTGCACAGCCAGGCACACAGGCTGCTGCAGTGGGGCTGGGCAGGCAGCTCCAGATGCCAGCACAGATGCCTCCTTCATGTGAGGCTGCAGCTGGACTAGGCATACCACAGGCAGCTTCTGCCTTAAGTGCCCTCGCTGGATGAGGGGAATATGGTGGCACCTAAAAACTCAGAGATGCCAGCAACCAGAAAAAGCCCCAAGGGGGTGTTATAGCTTTGTCACAGCTCTGGCTCAGGAAGCCTGGAGGTCTGGGCCCCCAGAAGGATCACAGCTCTTCTTTCCCATGGTCCAGTGAACAGGAGCATGTCACTGCCCACAGCTCAGTGAGCTGGTCAGAGATGTGTGACAGTGCTTTTCACACCTGCCATTTGGTGGGTCCCAGGATTTTGTCCTGTGTCTGAGAAGAATGAGGTTATGTAGACAATCAGAGACTGAGTAAGGCAGAGAAGAGTTTTACTGAGTGACGGAACAGCTCTCAGCAGAAAGAGGACCCTAAGTGGGTACCCCCTACCCAAAGGTGGGTAGTCCCAAAGTGTGGCTGAGTCCAGGGTTTTTATGGGCTCGGAATGGGGGAGTGCATGCTGATTGGTCAAAAAGCACCATTCAATTGGCTGAAAGGCATGGAGGAAGTTCTCACTGCAGTTGGGGACTTTATCTAGAACTGGCAGCTTGGTTTTCAGGCTTTAATTTGTCTTTGGTTTGAAGGTTGGGTTTCACCAGGGACCCACCCCTATCTGCCTAGGAATTTGTCTCCCTTCTGCTGCTATCACTGATACAGATAGGCATAGGGCTATGGTTTTATCTGTGGTATTTGGCTGTTACAGAGAGGTTATGACCTACAATTTTCTGTCTTTTTAGCCTGCGCCTTTCCTGACTTTCAGGCTAGACAGATCAGGGGTTTGTTGATGCTTTTTTTTTTTCTTTTGCTTCTGTAGGTGTTTCTGGGCTACGTGAGGCAAAAATAAAAACAGAGAAACTCACCACAGTGTTTTTCCTTGGATCCCATGATGCCCAGATGCTCTACTTTTTCCTTTTACCTTTCAGAAGGTGTTTTTATAACATGTAAAATCCAGGGTTTTCGTTGTACCAAGTAGAGGAATAAGGAAAAATACACCAACTCCATATTTCCGGAAGAATACAACCAATCTGCATGTATTCATTGTTCTTATTCGTGCTTAGCTTTCTCTACTGCAGTTTCATATGGTATGATGAAAACATAATATGTTGGATACCAGTATTCTGTATAGGGTATTCTTTCATTGCAGGCCTCAAATAGACTTTCAGGAAATAGACTTTTACAATAACATTAGGAGGTAAGAGAATTGCCTCATTATGTCCATATGGCTGCCTGTGAGCACACATGTATGTTTACACAGAATCTTAGAAACTTCACCTTGAGGTAGGCTGAACACAGTGTGGTTGCCGAGTGTATTTTACAGTTTATCTATAGGATAATAGAAGAAACCAGAAAAGCACTGAGGGAATGTAAACAGAGAGAAAAAATGTTGATTCAGACCCTGTCATGATAAGATCCTTGTGGAGAGAGTGGTATAAAACTCAGCAAGCTTTATAAACATAAAATGAAAAAAAAATTTTAGTTTTTTAACTTAATAATTAATTACTTTGAAAAGTTGTATAACTAAGACTAAAATTCACAAAGATCAGTAGAAGACTTCTACACAGCAACAGTGGAGTAATATGTGGTTGTACTCCTATTTTTTCAGTATGGCTAACTTGTATTATCTTTTCTTTATGAAAATCTGGTTTAGAAGTTTTCAGTTCCAGAGATGTAGCAGACTAGATAATCTCAAAACTTTTATACCTGCTAAAAGTATCAAAAAATGATAGATGGTAAAATTCCTCCTAGATACATGTTTGAGCATAATAATAAAGTTGGAAAATTCCCAAGGGCTAGAAAGAAAGAGGGAGCAGAAAACAGCAAAACCCACTATCACTGCCTGGGAAGAATGGGGTGGGTGGTGGGTCGGGGCTGTGAGTCTCAGTAACATAGGGACTGACATTTTAAAATCTATGCCAGGCTAGGTGATGAAGCGTTAGTCCTACAGAAGCAGAAAGTTTCAACTAAGACTTCCACATAAAGCTGTAGCCCTGAAGGTCTTCCCCATCAGTGAAGAAGTGAAACACCCAACACAGAGAAGGAACAAGAAATCTCAACTGGTCAGAGAGAGGGAAGAGTGGGGACAAGTCTCCATTGTGAATGGACAATACTAATCTTTTGTCACATGCGGGCTTGGAGTTCAAAACGATACTACCCATATTTGGAAATTGTCACATTGAGAAGTTAACACAAAAATGGTACTGGTGTGTAAAACCCCTAGAGTTGCTGATGAAGCCAGTGTAAAATTATTCTTAAAGGACATGACATATCTTCAACTAATTCCACAATAAAAACTGACTGGAAAGGAGCTCTCAATCCAGTACTACGCAATACAAAAGAAAAATATTCACTGTGAACAAGAACCAGGAAATAAAATAAATAGCAGATTTCGACTCTCCAAAACTAAAGATAAGTAAAGAAATAATCATATATATATTTAGAATAAAAAGTTGTATAAGAAGAAATAAAACTAAAAGGCCAAGATGTTATGAAAAAAAAGACAAATTGGAACAAATGGCTTATAAAAATAAATGCATATAGTCATTAAAATGTATACTGTAATAGACAAGTTAAATAGTAAATTAAACACAGCTAAACTAGAAAGCAGTCAATCTAAGAAAACTGGCCAGAATGCAGCAGAGAAAGATAAAGAAATGGGAAATATTCCAGGGAGGTTAAGAGACTTAGAGGACAAAATGAAAGATGTCAACTAGAAGTCTAGAAGTTCCTGGAAGAAGGCATAAAACAAATAGGGAGAAGCACAGTTTTAAGAGAAAATAATAGAAAATTTTCAAAATTGATGAAAGACATGAATCCTCAATTTCAGGAATCTAAGTCATGACCATAATAAACTAAAATAAATTCACATTTCTACACAAAATAGTGAGGTTTCACAGCACTAATATCAAAAAAGATCTTTAAAGTATTCAGAAGCAACAGAAAGAATGGATACTAATTAATAACAGTATGTATGACCAATAGAAGAATTCTATACAGCAACAATGGAGTAATATGTAGTTGTACTCCTATTTTTCAGTATGGTTAACTTTTATTAGCTCTCTTTTCTCTCCCCCACTCTCATTCTCTCTCCCTGCCTCTCTTTCTCCTTTACCTTTTTTCCCTTTTTTAAAACAATCATTCTCATCAAATGTGTATATTTTTGTATGTTTGGTATTTATTTAACTACTCATTCTATTTGTTCAATAATTACAGGGCTATTCTTCTTCGTTGTTGTTGTTGTTGAAGACAGAGTCTTGCTCTGTCTCCCAGGCTGGAGTACAGTGGTACAATCTTGGCTCACTGCAGCCTCGCCTCCCAGGTTCAAGAGATTCTCCTGCCTCCACCTTCCGAGTAGCTGGGATTACAAGGGTGTGCCACCACACCCTGCTAATTTTCATATTTTTAGTAGAGACAGGGTTTCACTGTGTTGGCCAGGCTGGTCTTGAAACTCCTGACCTCAAATGATCCACCCACCTCAGCCTCCCAAATTGCTGGGATTACAGGCATGAGCCACCGTGCCCGGCCTCTTCTTTTGTTTTTATTCTGGAGTTACTTTTAGTATGTTACAGCTTTGTAGGGGATTACCTATTTCATTTATGTTTTCAAATTTATTGGCACAAAGTTGTTCATAGTATTGCCTTATTATTTCTGATTCTGTAGAATTGTCTTTATAATTTTATAATCAGACTATAGTGTAATGTGTTTAAAAATCAAAGAAACAATACAATTAGCATAATAACATAAACTATGAAGATGGAATATGACCAAATACATCTGCCTGGACACCCAGCGAAAAGACATACCTTAAATATGGTGACTTGGAACAGCTGAAAATCAAAGAATAAGTGAAAGCATTAGGCAAGTGCAAACAAATTAAAGCTACTGTTGTGGCTTAATATTGAACACAGATGTATTTGGGGCAAAAGCCATTAGGATTAAAAACATTTTATAATGCCAAAGACTAAAATTCACAATGAAAATATAAGCTATGAATATCAATGCATTAAGTCACGTAGCAAAACTTATATGGAAAAAAAGAAATTTTATTTAAAAAATAGAAACACAGTAGTGGTAGAAAATGTGACTCACTTTTCTTAGTTCATGACCCATCAAGTGATCAAAAATTAGATAAGCATATAGAAGAAATAAATAACATAATGTAACTTCAATATATACTACAGAATATATACACACATGCACAAACACATATACATATAGAAAATGAAAAAAACCTTTTCAGGTGCCCATGGGATATGAAGAAACACTGATTATATATTAGGCAATTAAAAAGGAGCTCACTTTCATAGTTCTTACAAACTACAATAGTAGTTCAATTTCTAGTAATGACATGCTAGGTGTTTACAACCAATTTTCCCCAGTGAGGGCAGCTAAAGAAAACTGGGTAAAATACAAAGAAAGGGGCTAGGCGCAGTGGCTCATGCCTGTAATCCCAGCACTTTGGGAGGCCGAGGCAGGTGGATCACCTGAGGTCAGGAGTTTGAGACCAGCCTGGCCAACATGGTGAAACCCCATCTCTACTAAAAATACAAAAATTAGCTGGGCGTAGTGGTGCATGCCTGTGATCCCAGCTACTCGGGAGGCTGAGGCAGGGGAATCGCTTGAACCCAGGAGGCGGAGGTTGCAGTGAGCCAAGATCGCACCACTGCACTCCAGCCTGGGCGACAGAGTAAGACTCTGTCTCAAAAAAAACAAAAACAAATACAAAACAATAACAACAAAAATAAATATAAAGAAAAAAACCAACAAAACTTTCTTTAAACTCAAAGTTGTTGGTTGCTCAAAACCTTCAAAGTACTGAAAATTCAGATCAAAATCCAGTAGAAGGAAAGCACCCAGCACTCATAACCATTTTTATTCAAGACCATCTGCCAAACCTGAAAAAAGAAACAGCCAAACTGAGCTGTTTGTGGTCTTGGAGGGCAAATGTATGAAAAGTCAAAACCCAGGCCCAGTAAGGCTGGAGGTCACCTGAAGGCGCTGATCCGAGGCAGTGCTCACCCTGATGGGTGTACAGCAGTATGTCCTCAGGAAATGTCTCGTGCCAAATCATTCTGAGCTGCGTGGTGACAGCAGAGTGCCATTGACTTTGCAAGAGCTAATACGATTGTTAGTAGCAGCAGCAATTAAGGGCAGAAAAACAAACCTAGCTGTACCTTGTGCATATAATCAATTTTAAAGGAGACAGTACCCCTGTATTTAAACTCTGGCTGCCTTTTCATTGTCCAGATTTCTTTAAGGTTGGTCTGCCTATGAATAGAATTACAGTCTATTTTTAACTCTGTCTTGGATTTGCTATATGAACAGACCCCCACCAAACTTCTCACTCCGGCCAGCAGTATTTCCTCACCAAAAAATAAGACAACTTTTACCATAGACTGTGTGTACTGACAAAGGGGAATTTGAAGCATTATCAATATAGAAAATTACTTTTAAATTATTTAAGTTGTTCAGATGAAACTGAGAGAGAAGGTGCTTGACTTAGAGAGACTGGCCATGGGGTGGAAAGGCCAAGTTTGAAGGGAAGAAGCCAGCTCTGCTCTCTGCATTTTGTATTAACATAAAAGAGGGGTGCTTCTCAGTAAGTCCGCTTCTCTGGAGAGTCCTGTTATACGACTCTTGTTCTGTAGTGCTCAGGACAGCATTAGCCAGCAATGCACAGTGACTTTGTCAGGCAAGTGCTAGGAAGACCATGCATGCAGACGCATGCCTAATGTGTACCAGGATTGCATGTTCCCACTGAGATTGGGGAGTGAGCTATAAGCCCTGTTTCCTCTTTGAGCTACAGAGCTGATGTTCATTTGATTGGACAGTTAAGGCAGAAATCCAATTACTGAGCTAATTAGCACCTTTGAGGGGTAAGCACCAAATTTACAGGAGGAAAGCACTGGAGAAAACTCAAATTACCCAGTGTGGCTGACAGTCCACCCTCTTAGAGAATGTGTGGAGAGCCAGAGGTCCTGGGGGTACACAGGCAGCTTAACTTAGTTATTGCTCATCAGAATTTAGACTGTGTTCTATAGGCTTCTGAAAAGATAGCTTTCCAGTGAACATAGTTTTAGAAGGTGTTTTAGTTCCCTAAGGAGTTTAGTAAATGATTTTCTTTTGTCTTAATCCTCCTTTAAAAGTTGTTTATTCTGCTGCTTGAAAATTCCATTTGTGGTAGGTCTTAAGGTGAAATTAAAATTCCATTTAGGGACTAACTATGCAGACGTGGGACTTCAGCCTTCATTAAAAAGAATTTTGTTGGTTGCTGGATTTTCTGCTACCCTGAGATCTTTCATTTTTCAAAGCTGCTATGAGAGTATTTGTAAGGAAAACTAAAGCTGTAATAGAACAGCATACTTGGGTTCACAGCCTTTCTGAAATGTAACACAGTATTTCTTCTCTCCAATCCATCCGTAGCATCACAGAACTCAACAGGATCTTGCCTAGATGGTTCCCAAATGTCTAAGACATACATGAAAAGAAAGAATACTTTTTTTTTCTGAAGACAAGCCTTTTCATTTATTCAAATTATAGTTCCAACCAAATATCTTTTTATCTGTTTTTATTCCCAAAAGACAAGTTCACAAAAGAAGGCTGCATTCTTAGGTTTCTTCTTAAGCACCATTTCTGACAAGTGCTTTTCATTTATTAAATTATACAGAATATGTCAATGATCATGTTTAAACATAAGCCACATATGCAGCATTGACTGGCAGCTAGTCTTGTTTCTTCTTAGCAAATATTATAAGGACAAGAACTTCAGAAGTAGCCTTATCTTTGACCATTCAATAATTTATTCTGCAAATATTTATTGAGTGACTACTATGTGCCAGTTGTGAGCAACAAACTTACTCTCATGGTACTTAGGGACTGATGTAAGAGTCAGATATCATCAGATAATTACACAAAGAGATGTATGATGTGGTGTAAAGTAAAGGCTCCTAAGCCAGCCTCCCTAGGTCATATTCTGGCTGTGCCACCTGTTAGATCTGTGACCTTGAGCACTCTATTTAATTTCTCTGTGCCTCTGCCTCATCCGCCGTGAGAATGGGTATAATGAGTACCTACCTCAGAGGGTAGTTTTGAGGCAATAATAAGCCAATACATATAAAGTACTTAGAACAGGCACATGACACAAGCAAGTGCTACATAAATGTTAGCTGCCATTGTTATGATTGATGTTAGCCTTGACAGGTGCTCCAAAAGAGAGGTACAGGTACAACATGTGAAAGAGAACATGACAAAGGAATCTCAAGCAGCACAGGAGTCAAGGCAGCTTCCCTGAGAAGGTGATACTTGAGCTGAGACTTGAAGGATGAGAGGAGTCAATGAGGAAAAATGAGTGGGAATGGAAAGGGATCCCTAAGTAGAGGGAACATTTGCAAAGGATACTGGAGAGGAAGGAATGACAGGACTAAGAGGTCTGGGCATGCTGAAGGGGTGGAAAAGGAAAACCAACAGGCTTGGAGCAAAGAAAGCAAAGGGTGGAGTGATAGAAAAGGCAGGAGCTGGCCAGGCGCTGTGACTCACACCTGTAATCCCAGCACTTTGGGAGGCCAAGGCAGGTGGATCATGAGGTCGAGAGAGCGAGACCATCCTGGTCAACATGGTAAAACCCCGTCTCTACTAAGAATACAAAAATTAGCTGGGCATGTGGCGCATGTCTGTAATCCCAGCTACTGGGAAGGCTGAGGCAGGACAATCGCTTGAACCCAGGAGGCGGAGGTTGCCATGAGCCGAGATTGCACTGCTGCACTCCATCCTGGTGACAGAGCGAGACTCCATCTCAAAAAAAAAAAAAAAAAAAGAAAAGAAAAGAAAAAGAAAAAGCAGGAGCCAGATGTGTTCAAGACCAGGCTTTCTACAATTGTCAGTGGGACCTTCATTATGCCCAAATCCTTAAGTAAACCCTATGTGTGATGCTGATATATTTGTGGAAGCCCTTTCTTAATGGCGAATATATCAGATTTAACCATATGAAATTGCCATTTTGTAGGTGATAATAAACAGTTGACTATCGTCAATTTCATAGGCCTGATGTCAATTTCATATTTCATTCTTTAAAGACCGCCACTCATTGTTGGAAATAAAAGGACAAAGGTAGGCTGGCATAGCCTCTCCAAGAGAGCAGATCGCTGCACTTACAAAGGGTTTTGGGGATGTGTGGAGTTCAAGGACTGGTGAGGTTTTGGAGGCATACATGGGTTGATGGCATCTGTATAGGTGGTTACTTGAAAAGCCTGTTATTCATCAGTTGCCCCTCAAGTCTGCAGTGAGTCGGCTAACTCTCAGAAGCCAGGGGTTGTCATGGACTGGCTGCCTTACAAAAGCTGTGCACTGAGGGGTGTTTACATGATGGAATAGGTTCAAAGCTGGTTCTAGTGGCCACTTGTTACCATGGCTGCAGATGATCCGAGAGCTTTCATTCTCATGGTTCAACCTAAGAAAGGTCTATAAGAGTATACCCCACTCTTGAAAGCAGGTGGTGGAGACGTTGACTACTCACCACCATTTCCTGAAATCAATTTGAAGAGAAAGATACCTTTGTGGACACTGTTCTCAAGTTCTGAAAGTGGGTAGCATTACATTGGCAGTTTAAACACTTGCTTTTTTTTTTTTGAGTCTTGCTCTGTCACCCAGGTTGGAGTGCAGTGGTGCAATCTCGGCTCACTGCGACCTCGGCCTCCTGGATTCAAGTTCAGCCTCCCAAGTAGCTGAGATTATAGGAGTGTGCCACCACACATGGCTAATCTTTTTGTATTTTTAGTAGAGATGGAGTTTCACACTGTTTGCCAGACTGGTACCAAGCTCCTGACTTCAAATGATCTGCCTGCCTCAGCCTCCCTAAGTGTTGGGATTACAGGCATGAGCCACCGTGCTCAGCCTAAATACTTGCTTTGATTTTGCAGATCTGGTGCTCCAAATTGATTAAGACACAAGACCGTTCTCTCCAAATCAGAGAGCTACTCATCTCTCCCTTCCATGTGTTTCTTGTACTGCTCCCTCTATCTCTTATCATGAGACTCCTCTCTTCCTGCAGTGTGGTAAAACTACAGCAATCGTCTTAACCTGTGAGATCTGTCACCTTTGCATTTTCCACTCATGCAGCTGGTTCTATAAACCAACTCTTCTGCTTGGGGGGATCTAATCATGACCTTTTACCCTTTTGTGGCCTCTTCTAGTACAAGGCGAGTGGATAATTCCAACACAAGACTGGCAGTCCAAATTGAAAGAGATCCAGGTAAGAAGATCTCTTCTCTCTTTTTCAACTATTTATTGTTGTATGGATGGATTCTCAAAAGGAAGAATTAAATACTCACTCTGTACTCATTGTGGAGACAATGCACATCTTAGTTAATCTGCTGAATGTGGAATAAAACTGTGCAGGTAGAGTGATCAAGCAACCTGATTTGGTTTGACAATGCATTGCTCCGCTATTTAGAATTGATTAGGACCTTGCTCAGTATTGCATACCCCTGTTAATCAAGACATTTTAGTTCGTGTGCAGTAAACCTCAAACACAGACTATAAACCTTGAGATTCGTCTTTTAGGAAAAAAAAATTCTTTGGAAAAACATCAGCATGATAATATCCTTAAAGGTAAAGCATTCCATGATCCAGGATCTAGAAGGTTTCAGAAACTTTGGTCAACATTAAGCTATGAAAGGATGTACCTGCTAGAAAATTATTTTACTTTTTTCTTTCCATAATCAATCTCCTTTTTTAACCATTCTATTTCTTCTTTCCTCATATTAGAATGCAAATTTTAACTGTTCTCTATTTTTGTCCTCCTCACTCCCTTCTTTGTGACCCAAAATCTGTCTAGGAACAATTGTATCGTGCTCATTATCTATATTTGAATTGCATCTACATGATTAATTCGAAATCAAAATTCGAAATTTGAGATACCTGGAGAGAGAAGCTTATTTTTTGTTGAACTTTATGTCAGTACAATGAGGGAGGAGAGGTACTGATATCTCTGAGGTGCAGCTGTGGGACTGTGATGTTACAAGGCTATTGATACAAGGCAGAGGGACAGTTTCCCAAGCACATTGTGCTGTTAGTTAATCATAGTTGCTGTCTCATTTTAATCTAATTATGCAAATGTGTGGTCAATGTGTTCTAAAAAGATGCCCTGAGTTGAATCTCTACTTTTAGTGATTTCAATTGTTTTGTTTTATTTAAATATTGAACAGTTTCAACAATTAAGCAAAGGCTAATTCTCTCATTCAGGCCTTTCCTTTCAAAGTGCCAGAGACTGAAAGGTGTCTTTAATTAGTGTCTCAGGATGCGTGCTGCTTCATTAGAGAAAATGAATACAGTGCAGGTCAAGGAGGCTTCATCTGCATAGAAGATTAAGCATACTGATACATTATTAGACTACATGGCATGAGTCAGCCCACAGAACAGTTTCTTTCCATTAATCATAATTAAGTTATAAATGCTCTAGTTTTGATTCAGCTTTCAACTGTCATGAGTGGCCAGCAAAGATACTCATAATTTGATAGTGTTATTCTGTAGATTTCTTAGAGGTGGATTGGTGATCTTCCTTATGTAAGCGCACTTGGGGCATCTTCACCTTCTTGTACCACTCCCTGCCTTCCGCACCCTGATTTTGCCCCAGTTCCCATGGATACAAAGCAGGGATGCTTCGGTCAGATCTGCAGTCTTCATCCCTGTCCTCCCCGAATGTCTGTCTCCACTCAAATAGACGATCCAGGAGGGAGCATTGAGTTTTGCTTTAGGCGTTTCCTGTTTAGGACAACTATGCCTATGGCTTTCCAGAGCCATAATTTCCTCTCCCAAAGAAAAGCTACTCCTAGAATAAAAGTCATGAACGTGAACATTTTGCCTAGGCTTCTCCCAATGCTTACTCCACCCACAGGACCACAGACCAGGAAGACTTCCCATGTTATCCAATCTTCTCTTTAAAAAATCTTATATCCCTCATCTTGAGAGATCCCATGAAAGGAGGGAAAAGAGTCAGGGCTCAGCAGGGAGGATATAGGAAATGCACTACGCACTCCTAATTTCACCCCCACTCAACACGCACCCCTGGCTGTCCACCGGGAAGCAAGGTATTCCATCATTCCATCTTCTTTGCTGCTTCCTCCTTCACCCTTCCTTGGATGTCATTATCCACCCAATTAAAATGGCCAAAGTTAAACAAACAAGCAACAGTGGACAATTCCAAGTCCTGGCAAGGATGCAGAATTAGAGCTCTCAATCACTGCTGGGGAAATGCAAATAGGGTACAGCCACTTTGGAGAACAGCAGTCCTGCTCCTAAGCATTTACTCAAGAGAAATGGGGAGAGTCATATTCACACAAACTCCTGTTCATGACTCTTGGTAGTGGTTTTACCCATAATCACCAAAACTGGAAACAACCCAAGTGTCCTTCAGCAGCTGAATGGATAAACAAACTGTAGCACATGCATACAGAGGGATACTACTCAAAGGTGAAACAGAACACACTCATATATACAACAGATGAATGCATTATTCTAAGCGCTGGTTATATGACTATGTGCATTTTTCAAGACTCATAGAATAGTACACTAAAATGGATGAATTTTACCCTACACAAATTATTCTTCAATAAACCTGAATTTTTAATTTATATATAGTTTAAGAACAAATGGTATCCATTTATATATAGTATAATAACTTATATGTTATATAATATGTCAAATATTTATTTGTATTTAACAAATAATACTAGCAATGATTGTTTGTATTATATATTATAGCACATATATATAAATCGATGCTGCTTATGGCCTATAAATTACACAGAGAGAATATTGAGGGAAAAAATTGGAGGGTCTCATATAATCCACTAAAATGTGGGAAGAACACATCTTTCCTCTTTTATGTATATAAAGAGTCTGATTTTACCCTTAATCAGATGACAACTCACTGTTTCCTAGGTCTGGATACACAGCAAGGAGTAGGCATTCACTGATCATATTTCTTGTCTGCCTTTAGGGAATGATGACAACAATCTCAATTCCATTTTTTATGAACACTTGACAAGGACCCTCCAGGAGTCCCTCTGTGGAGACTTAGTTCTTGGACGTTGGGGCAACTACAGCTCTGGCGATTGCTTTATTTTGGCTTCAGATGACCTCAATGCCTTTGTTCACCTGATTGAAATTGGAAATGGTCTTGTCACCTTTCAACTTCGAGGACTGGAATTCCGAGGTAAGAATTTCTTCATTGTAGAAACTGTTGAAAGTTGGTTGCTTGAGTTAATTATCAAGCAAAACTTTAGGAAGAAGTCACTGTTAAACAGGAAAAACTTAATGTCTTCCTACTGAAAGTGAGCTTGCCACCACTACCTTGATATAAATAAACTACAGTCATCTGAAGGAATAAAAACATAAAACATAGAATGGCATGTAAACTTGTGGATTAGCAAACCAGGACATTGGTTTTATTAGCAAATCAGGATATTGATTTTAATCCTTCTGGGAAAAACTCAGAAGCCACAGGAGGTTGTGGGGAACATCATTTGGGGTTCCAAATGGAGTCAGCCCGACCTTGTTCTGTGGGTCACAGGTGTTGGGATCTGTTGCGTGCAAATCATTTAAGGTCTTAGAGCTTTTCTTTCCTATCTGCAAAATAATAATAATGAGAATGGCTGCCTTATAATGTTGCTGTGTGGTTTAAATGAGATCATGTAGAAGGCACTTCATGAATCCTCATTGCTTTATGGTTATTGAGTCTGCCTGAATCTTGAAAGTATAACTCCAGTTTTCCCGCAAATGAGGAGCTGGAGTTATGCGGGATGCAGAAAGTGGCATAAGTGATGTACCTGTTGCCTTCTCCTATGTTGTTTATTCCTTTACTCATTGCATGTTTTCTGAACATCTCCTCTGTATCAGGCAGTGTTTCAATACTGGAGATGCAATGGACACGTGACATAAAAGAGTCTTATCACCATGAAGCTTACCCCCAGTGAGAGACACCTAAAGTAAACAAGTAAACAGACAAACTTATTATAGCTTGGAGCAGGTGCTATGAAAGAAGTAAATAGGGTTCTGGAACCCAAAGTCACTGCAGAGGATGAGGGTGAGGAGGTGCCACATTCAATGGGATGGTCGAGGAGGGCCTGGAGAGGAGAGCAGGAGGAAGAATGTCCCCAGTGCAGGGACTGATACCTGCTAAGTGCATGAGTCAGGCGGCATCTCAGAGCACTCCTGGCATCTGGGAGGACTCAAGTGACTAGGGCTGACCAGCGCTTGCGGCAACTTGACATGAGGCAGCTGGAAGCCCAGTAATGTGAGATCTCCCCGCCAGTGTCAGGGACTATATGTTATTCTCTATGTTATGGGGAACCATGTAGGGACTCTGGAGGAGGGAATGGTTGACCCTCTCTACACTTTAAGAGATTGGTCTGGTGGCTGTGTGGAGAATATACTGGGGGAAGACAAAAGTAGAAGCAGGGAAACCATTTAGGACTGCATTGTGGACACCCAAGCAGATGATGGCAGAGACAGGGAAGTGCCCAGAGACTGGGAGGTGGAATCAGAAGGGCTAGCTGTTAGGGGTGAGTAAGAGGGGAGGCTCTGTGTGCCCCCCAAGTTTCTAGATCGAGTGTCTGCATGGGCAGAGGTGTGTTTACTAAAACAGGGAAGCCTGGAAGGACTTTTTGGTCTGGTGGTGGAGGCATTCAGGTGAATATGCAAGTAGCTAGTACATACAGTCTCTTAGTTATTCAGGAGACATTTATTTAGCACTGATTACATGTCATGCACTAGTGTAGGTACCAAGAATACAGAAATGAAGCCCCCACCTTAAGATGCTGGGAGCCTCACAGAGAAGACAGGTATGGAAGGAGCTCATGTGAAATGAGTATCGCATGAAATGAATGTTATGACAGTGTCCTGCAAGGGCCAGGTTAAGGACCAGAGGAGAGGCACTGGTGTCAGGTTGGAGTCTGGGTCAGCTCAATGGAGGAGAAAGAGGAAGGGCCTTACCTGCTAAGGAGCAGCAGATGTGATGACAAAGAAGCACCAAGTCATCCGATGTAGTTCTCAGCAGGTAGTTTGGAAGTGGTTATAGGTAATGCTAGAAAGGTGAGCAGGAGCCAATTCATACCTGTTCAAACCCTCACTGTGACAAAAGGACATCTTTTAGCCAAAAACAAGTTGTCATGTTTTCCCAGATTGAACACCATTATCTAAAGATGATCAGTTATCTCGGTTCTTTGGATGAGAATCTCTAGCATTAGTTTTGTGAATATCCATGCCTTTTCACATTCCTAAATAAATGTTTACGAAATATTTTTTTTCTAGAGTGGTAGGTTCTGTGTTTTAGGTGTGCATTCCGTGCACTTTTCTGAATTTTAAGAATCTAATTTAGGGGGCTTAGTTTGGAGAAGGTTATTGAACAGGGAACTAGTGATAAAACTCTATAGAGTAATCACAGAAGGGATAATTCCCCTACATTTAGCACAGATGCCAGAAAATGTCACGAGAGATGGTGGAAATAAGTGTCTTCAGTGCAATAATACAATAGAACTGTCCTGCTCTCTGAATTTCTGAATCTCAGCTCTTTTGAGAGCTTTTCTTAAAAGTTCTTTTATTTTAGTATATTCCTTTTTAAATATAATTTCAATTTTCATTTTAGATTTGGGGGTACATATGCAGGTTTGTTACATGGATATATTGTGTGATGCTGAGATATGAGGTATGATTGGTCCCATCACTGAGGTACTGCTCATAGGACTCAACAGTTTTTCAACCTTTGTCCCCTTTTCTACCTGCAATGTCTACCAGTCCCCAGTGTCTATTGTTGCCTTCTGTATGTCCATTAGTACCAAACGTTTAGCTCCCTTTTATAAGTGAGAACATCTGGTATTTGGTTTTCTATTCCTGCATTAATTTGCTTAGGATAATGGCATCCAACTGCATCTACGTTGCTGCAAAGGACATGATTTTATTTTTCTTTATGGCTGCATAGTATTCCATGGTGTATATGTACCCCCATTTTCTTTATCCAGTCTACTGTTGATGGGCACCTAGGTTGATTCCATGTCATTGCTATTGTGAATAGTGCTGCAGTGAACATATGAGTGCATGTGTCTGTTTGGTATAACGATTTATTTTATTTGAGTATATATACCCGGTAATGGGATTGCTGAGTTGAAAGGTAGTTCTGATTTAAAGTGCTTTGAGAAATCTCCAAACTGCTTTCCACAGTGGCTAGACTAATTTACATTCCCATCAACAGTGTATAAATGTTCCCTTTTCTCTGCAGCCTCACCAGCATCTATTGTTTTGTGTTTTGTGTTTTTTGTTTACTTTTTAATAATAGCTATTCTGATTCATGTGAGGTGGTATCTCATTGTGGTTTTGATTTTCATTTCTCTGATGATTAGTGATGTTGAGCATTTTTTTCATGTGTTAGTTGGCCACTTGTATGTCTTCTTTTGAGAAGTATCTCTTCATATCTTTTACCCATTTTTTAATGGGGTTATTTATTTTTTGCTTGTTTGATTGTTTAATTCCCTTATACATTCTGGATATTAGACCTTTGTCAGTTACATAGTTTGGGAATATTATCTCCCATTCTGTAGGTTGTCTTTTATTCTATTGATAGTTTCTTTTGCTGTGCAGAAGCTCTTTAGTTTAATTAGGTCTCATTTGCCCATTTTTGTTTTTTTGCAATTGCTTTTGAAGACTTAGTCATAAATTCTTTCCTAAGGCCCATGTCCAGAATAATGTTTTCTAGGTTTTCCTCCTATAGTTTGAGGTCTTACATTTAAATCTTTAATCAATCTTGGGTTAATTTTTGTATATGGTGAAAGGTAGGGGTCCTGTTTCATTCTTCTGCACATGGCTAGCCAGCTATCCCAGCACCATTTATTGAATAGGGAGCCCTTTCCCCATTGCTTATTTTTGTTGACTTTGTCAAAGATCAGATGGCTATAGGTGTGTGACTTTTTATTTCCGGGTTTGCTATTCTGTTCCATTGGTCTATGTGTCTGTTTTTGTACCACTACCATGCTGTTTTGGTTACTATAGGCTTAGAGTATAGTTTGAAGTTGGGTAATTGATGCCTCTGGATTTGTTCCTTTTGTTTAGGATTGCTTTTGCTACTTGGGCTTTTTTTTTTTATTCAGTATGGATTTTAGAATAGTTTTTTTCTAGCTCTGTGAAAAATGACATTGGTAGTTTGATGGGAATAGAGTCTATAGACTGCTTTGGGCAGTATGGTCATTTTTTTTATTATACTTTAATTTCTGGGATACATGTGCAGAACATGCAGGTTTGTTACATAGATATACACGTGCCATGATGGTTTGCTGCACCCATCAACCCATCATCTACATTAGGTATTTCTCCTAATGCTATCCCTCCCCTAGACCCCCACCCCATGACAGGCCCCAGTGTGTGATGTTCCCCTCCCTGTGTCCATGTGTTCCCATTGTTCAACTCCTATGTTGATTCTTCCAATCCATGAGCAAGGAATGTTTTCCCATTTGTTTGTGTCATCCATAATATTTTTCAACAGTGTTTTTGTAGTTCTCTTTGTAGAGATCTTTTACCTTTTTGGTTAGATGTATTCTTAGGTATTTGTGTGTGTGTGTGTGTGTGTGTGTCTATTGTAAATGAGATTGTGTTTTTTATTTGGCTCTCAGCTTGAATGTTACTAGTGTGTAGGAATGCTACTAAGTTTTGTACATTGATTTTGTATCCTGAAACTTTCCTGAAGTTATTTTATCAATTCCGGAAGGCTTTTGGCAGAGTCTTTAAGGGTTCTCTGACTATACAATCATATGATCAGTGAAGAGAGATATTTTGACTTCTTTTTCTATTTGGATGTCTTTTATTTATTTCTCTGGATTGGCTGCTCTGGCTAGGACTTCCAGTACTATGTTGAATAGGAGTGATAAGAGTGGGCATCCTTGTCTTGTTCTGGTTTCAAGGGGAATTCTTCCAGCCATTTGTTTGTCATAGATGAGTCTTATTATTTTGAGGTGTATTCTTTCTATCCTTCATTTCTTGAGGGTCTTTACCATGAAAGGATGTTGAATTTTATTGAAAGGTTTTTTTCATGTCTAGTGATATGATCATGTGGTTTTTGTTTTTAATTCTGTTTATGTGATGAATCACATATATTGACTTGTATATGTTGACCCAACCTTGCATCCTAGGAATGAAGCTGACTTGATCATAGTGAATTAACTCTGATGTGCTGCCTAATTTGGTTTACTAGTAGTTTGCTGAAGATTTTTGTATCTATATTCATCAGGGATATTGGCCTGTCATTTTCTTTTTTTGTTGTGTTTCTGCCAGATTTTGGTATCAGGGTGATGCTAGCTTCATAGAATGCATTAGGGAGGAGTCCCTCCTCCTCAGTTTTTTGGTATAGTTTCAGTAGAATTGGTACTAGCTCTTCTTCTTATGTCTGATAGAATTCAGTTGTGAATCCCTCTGGTAAGTTTTTTATTACATATTCAATTTCAGAACTCAATATTGGTCTGTTTAGGGTTTTAATTTCTTCCTGATTCAATCTTGGAAGAGTGTGTGTTTCCAGGAGTTTAGCCATTTCATCTAGATATTCTAGTTTGTATGCATAGAGATATTCATAATAGTCTCTGAAGATCTTTTGTATTCTTTTAGGATCAATTGTAATGTCATCTTTGTCATTTTTGATTGATTGTGCTTATTTGGATCATCTCTCTTTTTCTTTGTTATTCTAGTTAGTGGTCTATCAATCTTCTTTATCCTTTCAAATCAACTTTTGGTTTTGTTGACTCTTTGTATGGATTTTGGGGTCTCAATTTTGTTCAGTTCTGCTCTGATTTCAGTTCTTTCTTCTGCTAGCTTTGGGGTTAGATTGTTATTGTTTTTCTAGTTCCTTTAGGTGTGATGTTACATCATTAAATTGAGATATTTCTAACTTTTAGAGGTAGGCATTTAGCACTATGAACTTTTCTGTTAACACTTCTTTTACCACATCCCAGAAATTTTGGTATGTTGTGTCTCTGTTTTTATTTGTTTATAAGACAGAGTCTCACTCTGTTGGCCAGGCTGAGTGCAGTGGCACAATCTTGGCTCACTGCAACATCTGCCTCCCAGGCTCAAGTGATTCTCCTGCCTCAGCCTCCCAAGTAGCTGGGTTTATAGGTGTGTGCCACCACACTCAGCTATTTTTTATATTTTTAGTAGAGATGGGGTTTCACCATGTTGGCCAGGCTGGTCTCGAACTCCTGACCTCAAGTGATCCGCCTGCCTTGGCCTCCCAAAGTGCTGGGATTCCAGGTGGGAGCCACCATGTGCAGCCTGTTTTTATTCATTTAAAAGGATTTTTTTTTTCATTTTTGCCTTAATTTTGTTGTTTACCCAAAAGTCATTCAGGAACAAGTTGTTTAATTTCTATGTAAGTATGTGGTTTTAAGAGTTCTTCTTGGTATTGATTTCTATTTTTATCCCACTGTGGTCCAAGAATATGGATGATATTATTTCCATTTTTTTTAAATTTATTGAGACTTGCTTTATGGCTGAGCATGTGGTTGATCTTGCAGTATGTTCCATTTACAGATGAGGAATGTATATTCTGTGGTTGATGGGTGGAGTATTCTATAGATTTCTATTAGGTCCAGTTGGTCAAGTGTCAAATTTAAGTCCAGAATTTCTTTGTTAGTTTTCCGCCTCGATGATCTGTCTAATGCTGCCAATGGGGTGTTGAAGTCCTCCACCATAATTGTGTATTGTGTGGCTGTCTTAGTCTTTTCATAGCTCTATAAGTACTTGTTTTATGAATCTGGGTGCTCCAATGTTGGGTGCATATATATTTAGGATAGTTAAGTCTTGTTGAATTGAACACTTTATCATTATGTAATACCCTTCCTTGTCCTGTTTTACTGTTGTTGGTTTAAAGTCTGTTTTATCTGATATAAGAACAGTGACCCCTGCTCCTTTTTTGATGAAAGCTTTTCAGTTTTTTCTGGAATTTAAGGTAAAATCTTTTAGAGCTAACCTAGTTGAATTATGAGTTGTAGTTTCTGTCACAAGTTCTGTGCCATTTTTAGCTTCTTTTTGCAAACTTAACCAATCTTTGAGTTTAAAGGGTCCAAGTTAATGAGATCTTAGAATTTTGCAGTGCTTTTTCTGTCTGTCAGCTCCTCATCACAAGCAGCGCTTCTTAATCTAGCACAATAAATGTTCTGGTCTCATCTTAGATCAATTATATCTTGAGGCATAACCAGCCACCACAGAACTTCGTGGTTTAGGATAGCAATGCTGTATTATTTCCCACTGTTGCATGGGTTGGCCAGTGGTTCTGCTGCTGCTGTCACCTGGGCCACTTGAGCAGTTTCATTCAGCAGGTAGATGAGCCAGGCTGGGAGGTCTAGAGGCTGGCTGCCAAACTTGGAGCCTTGTATCTCCTCCATGGTACCACTCAGTCTCCCAGAGGCCAGACTAGGCATCTTCACAGCCAGGTGGTGTTCGGGTTTGAAAAGGGGAAATCTGAACACTTCAAGGATTCTTACAGCCCAGCTTCCTGGACAGGCACCATGTCATTTCTGCCACATTCTGGTGGTAAAAGCCATTCCCAAGGACAGCTCAGATTCTGGTGATAGAAAAAGTGGTTCTGCCTCATTTGCACAGTGGTATGATTACAGGGAGGCGTTATTTGTCAATATTACAACAACATACCAGACTCCTTGAATTTCATCAGATGAAATACAGAAGGAGGCTTAGAACTGACAGATGTAGCCATCCCCAAGATAGAGGCAGAGATTATGTGAGACTAGACTGCCCAGGAGGATCTCTGCTATTGCTCATTGATATCCCTTCTTCCTGCCAGCCACAGTAGGAATATAACCTGGCTATAAGGGTCACTTTGGCACCATAGCAACGTCTTGAGAAAAAAATGATAGTTCCCTTGCCCCAATACCACTCACTCTTAAACAATACCTTTTTTTAAACCCAGTTCAGTTGTAGTTGGGGACACAGGGACTTTAAAAGAGCATATAGCTTGACAAAACCTAAATTATGCTTTTATTGTGGGAAGAATCCAGTTAACCTAAAATGGCTGTTCTGTTTTATGTCTCTTTGCAACATATAGTACAGTATTCCTAGGGAAGGTCTGTTTTATTTTACCTCCATGGATATTTTTTAGAGTTTTCTTTTCAGCATTTTCCTTTTCAGTTTCCTGTTTTCCAAAATAATGGCTTTATTTTGGTCAAATTTAATCTACTTCACCCCAACCTGAGGCAGTCAAAATATAGATGGGCTTGTTCTCCCTCCTGAAGTCTACTGAAGCCATCAGTGGAAACATGAAATGTTCACAGGATAGATTCTGACTTTTTCTCAGAAAATGAGAAATACACTCCAGAGAGGAGGCAAGCTCCCCAAGGCTGTGGACCAAGAAAGTATCCTGTCTTCCTCTCCCTGAAAGGGATGCATTTGTGTCAATAAGAGTTCTTGGTTGTGAGCTACAAAAATCAAATCTAGCTAACTTAAGTAGAAGAAGGATTTGTTGGAAGATGTTGCAAAGGGCACAGACTTCTGAGAAGGCTAGCAAAGCAGGCTTTGCAGCTATTGGACAAGGGCCAAGTCTAAAATCACACCACAGCTGTGAAGGAGTCACTTCTTGGCTGTTGAATCCAGACACTGGCATCATGTCATTGATACCATGAGCCTGGACACTGGACACTGCTACTGCCACCGCAGCTGCCCCCAGAAACTGGATGAACACCTCCCTTCCAGAATGCATTCCACATGACCCTGCTTCTTTGTGTCTCCAGCTCATTAGTCAATGTCTGATGTGGGTTTAACAGATTAACAAAGCCAAGATTTCACGTGTGTGCTCTAGATGGAAGGGAGCCTGGGAAAGAAAGTGTCTGACTCTTTAGTTTCTATAATGGGAGGTGGTGACTGCCTATCCCTGAGAGTCACAAAATGGGTAGATTAATTGAAGTAATGCTAGCTGCTGTAACTATTAGGCCCCAAATTTCAGTGGCTGATGCAACAGACGTCTGTTACACATTCATGTAGAGTCCAGTCAGTGAGTGGAGGTAGTGGGGAAGGGGATGGTTTCATTCTGCACTACCAAGGATTCAGGCAAATAGAAGCTCCACGTATTTCCTAGCACATTGCTTTCAAGACCACCTTGGACTTCAATACCAAGCTGGCAGAAAGTGGAAGATTGCATGGAAGATTGTTATGAGCTTGGCCTAACAATCTTCCCAATGATTGGGATACATCATTTCCTTGTACATTCTGCTGTCCACGATTGACATGACTACAAAAGAGGCTAGGAAATGCTATCTAGCTGAGTACCCAGGAGAAAAAGTAAAAGGCTTTGGTGAACAAAAAATAACTGGGGTAGTTCTGGTGCAGTACAAAATTGCCCAAACCTAGAATAGGGACGTAGATCTTGGATAGCCCAAAAGAATGATCAAGGTCCATGGCACATCCTATTTCTGTTGTCTGGTACCATAATGAATGATTGATACAAATTCTATATCAAGAATACAAATAGGACGGGTGTGGTGGCTCATGCCTGTAATCCTAGCACTTTGGGAGGCTGAGGCGGGTGGATCACCTGAGGTCAGGAGTCCAAGACCAGCCTGGCCAACATGGTGAAACCCCATCTCTACTAAAAATACAAAAAGCAGCTGGGCGTGGTGGCATGCACCTGTAATCACAGCTACTCGGGAGGTTGAGGCAGGAGAATCACTTGAATCTGAGAAGTGGAGGTTGCAGTGAGCCAAGATCACGCCATTGCACCCCAGCCTGGGCGACAAGAGTGAAACTCCGTCTCAAAAAAAAAAAAGAAAGAATACAAATGAGGAAGCACCATTTTTCTATTCTATTCTTTTGGCTCATATATTCCAGAATAGAAATAAACTATTTTCTTGTTAACGTAAGAAAACAGGATTGTAGTGCCCCCACTGCTCTTGAGTTCATGAGTATTACTTGCATCTACCTAAACGGGGAGCCTGTCAGGAAAACATTCAAGAGTGGAAAGATTAATCATTGGCTTTAAATCTAAGCCAAATTACAACAAAAGCCAAAATTGATAAATGGGATCTAATTAAACTAAAGAGCTTCTGCACAGCAAAAGAAACTACCATCAGCGTGAACAGGCAACCTACAAAATGGGAGAAAATTTTTGCAACCTACTCATCTGACAAAGGGCTAATATCCAGAATCTACAATGAACTCAAACAAATTTACAAGAAAAAAACAAACAATCCCATCAAAAAGTGGGCGAAGGACATGAACAGACGCTTCTCAAAAGAAGACATTTATGCAGCCAAAAAACACATGAAAAAATGCTCACCATCACTGGCCATCAGAGAAATGCAAATCAAAACCACAATGAGATACCGTCTCACACCAGTTAGAATGGCAATCATTAAAAAGTCAGGAAACAACAGGTGCTGGAGAGGATGTGGAGAAATAGGAACACTTTTACACTGTTGGTGGGACTGTAAACTAGTTCAACCCTTGTGGAAGTCAGTGTGGGGATTCCTCAGGGATCTAGAACTAGAAATACCATTTGACCCAGCCATCCCATTACTGGGTATATACCCAAAGGACTATAAATCATGCTGCTATAAAGACACATGCACACATATGTTTGTTGTGGCACTATTCACAATAGCAAAGACTTGGAACCAACCCAAATGTCCAACAATGATAGACTGGATTAAGAAAATGTGACACATATACACCATGGAATACTATGCAGCCATAAAAAATGATGAGTTCGTGTCCTTTGTAGGGACATGGATGAAATTGGGAAATCATCATTCTCAGTAAACTATCGCAAGAACAAAAAACCAAACACCGCATATTCTCACTCATAGGTGGGAATTGAACAATGAGAACACATGGACACAGGAAGGGGAACATCACACTCTGGGGACTGTTGTGGGGTGGGGGGAGGGAGGAGGGATAGCTTTAGGAGATATACCTAATGCTAAATGACGAGTTAATGGGTGCAGCACACCAGCATGGCACATGCATAAGTATGTAACTAACCTGCACATTGTGCACATGTACCCTACAACTTAAAGTATAATAATAATTTTTTAAAAATCTAAGCCAAATTAATAGATAATGCATGTTAGAAGGCCAATGGGGGCCATCAAGTTCAAGGGTTTTCAAAAGAAATGGAATCTATTGGATCGTAAATCCCATTTAACCATCATTTGTGTAGGTAGATACAGAAAGATGGGAAAGTGAGGGTTGATTATCCATTTCTGCTCTTCTTTAGTCAGTCAAGTGACCTAGGCTGATGGGTTAGTTTATTTCTATGAGAAGAGGAGAAAAATGAATGAGGAATCACCATGCTGCCAACAGCAGGAGCCAGGCAACTTGAAAATACTGTCTGAAGAGGTGAAGGAACAAGAATAGGAACAGAAAGCAGAAGGCGTTGGAGGGAGTTTCTTGTGAGAAAAGTAAACCCAGAGAAATGAATAGGCTTTCCTGAGGCTTACAGCAAGTTAGAGGTAGAGCTAGTCAAACCCGCATGGCTGTCTCTTAACCAGGACTGCCCCTTCCACCTCACGATTTCACCTTCTTCTTTCATTCCTCCTTTCAGGTATTTGTTTGGAATTTGTATCATAGTGTTTATTTAGTTCATTAAACATGAAATAACTGGGGTATAATTCATTTTGTCACTTGCATAGCCCCTTGAAAACTCCATATCTTTTTTCACTTAGGAAAACTCCTCACTTTCTATCAGAATATACAGAGCATCACTAGGGACTTGGCCTGTCAGAACCTTGATTTCTTCCTTAGAGCCTTAGTGTGATTCCTAAGTTTCTTCCCAGCTTTGACAGTCCATCAGTTCATGGGATAAAAAAGAATTCCACCACAGGACATATTTAGGGGAAAGTTGAACTTCTCCCTGTTACAGTGTGAAGATAATTCCCTCCCAGGGAGGAGATTGGATATAATTGATATAGCTCCCAGGTTGGGAGATATACCATGGCTAGAGGCCATGGCTGGTGTCACAGAAGTTGAGCAACTACTGGATCCCTGCTAGAACAAGAAAGGCCAGTGTGCCTTAGTATTAGTCTATCAGCTGGGGATAGGATTGGGCTTCAGAAGGACCACTGCAGAGAAGAAGCAGAATGGAGGAATTTCAGGCAAAGGAAAGAGGAGGGCTTGCTACAGTGGCAAGTGAGGGAATCCAAAGGGCTGGGATGAGGCTGGCAGGTTGAAACCCATGGTTGTTCATCCACAGAAGTGGAAGAGAAGAGAGAAAATATGGCACAGATGCAGGTAGGGGCAGATGTTACAGAGATGGAATGGGGAAGAATGAAGGGCGTAGGGAAATATACAAGTTGAATATTCTTTATTTGAAATACTTGGGACCAGAAGTGTTTTGGATTTTGAATTTTTTTGATTTGGAATATTTGCCTATACATAATGAAATATCTTGGGGACGGGACCCAAGTCTAAACACAAAATGCATCTATGTTTCTTATAAACCCTATATCCATAGCATGAAGGCAATTTTATGCAATATTTTTAATAATTCTGTGCAGGAAACAAAACTTGTGTACAATGAAGCATCAGACAATAAAGGTGTCACTATCTCGGCCACCTATGTGGGCAATCTGTGGTTGTTTGGAATCACCATCATTCCTGACTCTGAATTTATGTGCTACTGATAACCATTTATTTTCTTATAATTATTCACACATAAGGACTTAACAGTAAAAAACGTGACACACCATTAATATAGTGAATAAATACTGTGTCTGGGGTAACTGTGCCATTCAGTGTCATCACCAGAATACCTGGATCTGCTGTTAGGCAAGAGCAGCAGCAGACAGCTGCAGGCTCCCAGTCTCCACCCAGAGTGCTGGGTTTTATTAAAAGGTTAGTGTGCACTGAATTTTATTTATTTAGGTGGGAAGAAACATCAGAAGCAGTTGACAGACCAAGAAGTGGGTCCTGTAGGGAGGAGGAGGCCTTCTGCTGGGTGACTTTTATAAATGGCCGAGAGGGTTGTTTTCTCCTTGGGGACACTGAAGAAACTGTAGGCTGTGCACCCGCATTTTGACTGTGACCCATCACAAGAGGTCAGGTGTGGAATTTTTCACTTGCGGCATCACATCAGTGCTCAAAAGGTTTCGGATTTTGGAGCATTTAAGATTTTGGATTTTTGAATTTGGGATGTTCAACCTGTAGTATGAATGCTGGGCAGCATGAAACACTCACTTGAGATTAGTGATCATTATTTTAAAGAGAGATCTGTAAAGATTAATTACTGTGTGGTTTTTCTCTAAGCCACATTCAACATTGTGGATGTAGGCATGGAAGGGCAGACTTAGAGTTAACCAAGACTGGGTTGAACCAAGTGAGTGTCAAGAAGCTGAGAATGTATTTAATATGTAAGGTTGTGACAATGATTATAATACTTGGCCATGGAGTGTAAGCTGAGGATGAAGGGAAGTGAGGGTGTGAAAGAGGGAAGAAACAGGACTAATGAATCGTGGATCTGGGAAGGGTGCAAAGATTGTTGAAGTTGAACGATTAGAGGAAATGAGCTGGAAAAATGAAGTGGTTACTGGAAAATGGGATATTTCAAACTGATATCTTTAGAGGGAAAGCAATTTTTTGATAATCAAAGTCTAAGGTTATCACTGTGGGAATGACTGGCTGAGGTTCAGTGGAAGATGAGATCATGGCAGGGGTAGAGATCATTGCAGGGGTAGAGATTGGACCGGGCACCAGGATGTTGGAAAGAGCATCTCTATGTATATTGACATCCCCAAGAGTGACGGCAGGAGGCGTGGTGGAGAGAGTGACTGAGCTAGAGCCACAATCTTTACAGAAGGAGTGGGAATGACCAGAGAGGCCATAGGAGATGGCAATGAGATGGAGCATGGGGTTAGGGTGAGAGAATGGTCTGAGAGCATCAATGAGAAACACGAGGCTGTTTTCCAGTGCTGACCAAGTGGTGGGAGACATGTGTGAAAGGATTGTGAGATTTGGATGGGTGGGACAGTTAAGTTGGAATCAGAAAATGTAATTTATAGAGAGGCAAGGAAATTAGACTGCAGGGAATCCTGGGCTTCCCATAGCAAATGACGTGAACTGCATGCGGTAAAGCAGCATTCTCTCATGGGAGGATGAAGACAATCCTGTAATCTAAAGCTGGGTCATGTGCGTGGAAAGCTTTGAGGCAACTGAAACGAAGTTGATCTAGGCATGGAGGTATGTGTGCACAATCCTTATTAGTGTAAGGCTGCTACATTTTTCTCATGGTGAGATCTGTTTTCCAGAAATCGTCTTAGAGGAGGTAGGTCTTAGGAAATAGAAAAGAGTCATCTAATAAGACAAGTCTTTGAAAAGCAGGAGAAAAACAATGATACCGTAAATGCATGGTGACATATGGGCATTTGCCTTTTTAATTATTTATGTAACTACCTTTCCTCAACTTACTCATTTCTCAGTATTTCCTTGTGATACGTGATACGGCATTTGTATATATTTTCTACATTTCCATCAATCAAATATTTACAGTTTTTGCTCATCTAATAGTTCAAACAAAAAATAATAGAGATTACTTTGTTCTTTTATTTAAAATAAAGTTGTGATGAAAGTTATATTTGTGTTTGAGTGTTTGTGTTCATCATGAATCTCTGAGGTCAGGGCCTTATCCTTAGTGTCAGGTATGTGACCACATGGTTGGCAATCAATACATGTTTTCTTGATAACAACACAATAAATAATAATTTGAAAACCAAAGCCAGTTTGTTTTCAATAGCCTTACAAAGTTTATGCATTGAGGTTTTTTTATTACTGCAGACGATGAAAAATTAACTAAGTCAGACTCTATTAGACTGTGAGCCTTTCAAAGCCTGGGGCTTCATGGCTTATTCATGTAACTCTCCCCAGTGCATTGACTGGCTCATGGTAGGATGCCCAGTAAATATTGGTTGGATTAGAAGGTAGACAGTTGCAAGTTTCTTGAACACCAATTACATGCCAGGTACCATATTAGTTTCTTTACTTATATTATCAAAATATTGCTTATAACAGCTCTATAAAGTAAGTAGGTGCTATTACCCGACTGTCGACATGAGAAATCTGAGTGAATGAATTTAAGTAAGGTGCCCATGGCCACACAGTCACCAGTGGTAGAGGAGCATGAACACCTAGATGTGACTGACCCCAAGGTCCACGGCCTATCCGTAGACTCCCTGCTTGAGAGGGAAGGAACAGAGGGAGGAAGGTGGGTTAAATAAGGAGAGAATATGAAAGAAAAAAAGTGATTAAACATTTTCAGAAAGTATTTTTGGTTCTTGAAGTTAAACAAATAAAAGTTGGTTTTACCAGAATTCATTCTTAAAGGCTATTATGGTAGCACCTTTGTAAGTCACTTCTAGCAGCTCAGCTGTTTGAATTATTGGCTGTCTTAGCAATTTTGCTTTCAATGTTCATTCTGCAAGACTTAATTAAAGTCATGAAACCTAGATGGCTCTTATAGAATGAACATTGAAAGCAAAAGGCACAATTATCAGGATGTAGCTACACATTACCACCAGGTCTGGAAAATATCAAAAAATAGGATTTATGTTTCTGTCTGTGTGAAATGTTATCAGCCATCTCATAGTTTGGCTAACACCCCATAATCACTGGCCTGTGGGGACATTTAAAAATATCTGTGTAACTGAATCTTATCTAAAGCAAATCCAACCCAAACCTTTATCATAGCTGGCTAATCCATGCAGAGCAATAGCTTTCCCACTAATCTTGGAGTTATCTAGAATTTTCTCTGCTCTGTGACAACATTCAGGTCATTAGCAAATGCCTAGTTCTTAGGTCTTACAAATTGAGTAATCTTTCAAATCCCTTGGTTCCAAACTTACCCATACAATAATGAGTTCTCCATTCAGAATCCCTGACCACGTATTTTTCTTCATTGCATATTGTGTGACCTGTTAATAGGAGAGACGAAGCCATGTTTGTCTAGATAGCAAGTCTGGGAAGAAAAAGGGCTTCTTGCTGAACGTGAACAGGATCTGCATATCTTAACATTCAGCACTCAAACAAAAATTCATGGGAGAAAAAGAAGGTAATACAACTGCAAATTAAATATTCTTTAATTAGAATATTTATTCTAAGGACTCTTCTGAGTAGAGTTGAGTGCATTAGTTTTCACATCTTTAAACGGGGCAGTAGTAGGGGGAAATCATATCACTCACAGCGATAACTATCATCTATTTAAACATTTCTTATTCTTATGCTTCTAAACTGCCCAATGTGAGTTACAATGTATACTTAGTGATTTGGTTAATTTCATTTTCTCCCATGAGCTGGTTGAAAATAAATAAATTCAGGAAACTTTGGCTTGTAATTTGTCAAGCCTCATTAGACAGTGTGTGATAAAAGAAGAATACTGATTTTAAATTCAAAAGACCAGACCCTTCCACAAGAATAGTCTCTTTTGAGAATCAGTGCCCTGGAAACTACATCTGCATAACCAGGTTGATGTGTACATCAAATGAGATACTCTGAAGCATTCCTTTTTAAATTGATAAGTGTCACATAAATACATAGTGTTGTGAAATAAAAATTCTGTGAAAAACCAATGCTGCTTCATTTAAAGGTATTATAACACATTTAAAATCTGGCTTGCCAGACAGGTCACAGAAAAAACTTTATTCCTGTGGGCAGATCTTAAAGAATGTGAGGCTCCTTGGGATGTAAAACTGTTGCAATATAAAATCTGTGCTAGGCTCACAAAATCAAACAAGTTATAAATTATCCGAACCTACTTTTGTCTTTTTTGTCTATTGCATACTGGGCCAATACACTTCTAGGTTCCCAGTATCACATTTAAAAGACACACAAGGCCAGGCATGGTGGTGCATGTCTGTAATCCCGGGAGGATTATATGAGGCCAGGTGTACAAGACCAGCCTGGGCAACATAGTGAAACCCCATCTCTAAAAAAGAAAGAAAGAAAGAAAGAAAATCAATCAGGTAGGTGTGGTTGTGCCTGCCTGAGGTCCCAGCTACTCCAGAGGCTGAGGTGGGAGAATGACTTTAACCCAGGAGTTTGAGTGACAGTGAGCTATGATTGCACCTGTGCACTCCACCTTGGGTGACAGAGGCAGACCCCGTCTCTACAAAACATAAAATAAAATAAAAAAGACACACAGGTCCAGTGTTGCTGAAGGACTGGAAACTGGAACTAGGGGAGAAGTTGCCACTAAGGTAATAAAGAACTGAACCCATTCCGTGGTTCAACAAGCCGATCCTATTCGTTGTTTTGGTTCTTCTCTGTGGCCTTAGTCATGTAACTATACTATTAGCACTCTGTTTCCCTGTCTTTAAGATTGGATTAATCTAAACTGGATTGATTACCAAGTGGATGTGTGACACTTAGGGAATAGGAAATGTCCAGGACAGCTTCTTAGTGATGGTAATGATGGCAGTAGTCATGGCTCCTACAGTGGAGAGTGTCTCCCAAAGAGAGAGACTCAGTCTTTCTGTGTCTGGCCCTGATGGTTTCAGGGAAGCTGAAACCTCCAGAAGGTGAGTCTTTGCTATCGCAGGGAAAGCCCTATTCATCAGAATCAGAATTAAACAGCAGTCGAGAGAAGGATTGTCCCTTAAATTCCTTTGTTGAGTAAATAAAATCATTTTTACCTCTCTCTAGGGGCTCATTTCTTAGAAATTCTAGTATTTAAAACTGGAGTAAGAAATTTTAAGTTTGCAACTATAATCCAATAGATAGAAAAATAAATCTTTTAAGACCTAGAAAATCTCTGCATGAATTTTATTTCTATTGTGCAATCTTAAAGAAAAAGGAGGCTCCTTGAAATATAATTTTTTTTTTTTTTTGAGATGGAGTCTTGCTCTGTTGCCCAGGCTGGAGTGCAGTGTTGCAATCTTGGCTCTCTGCACCCTCTGCCTCCTGGGTTCAAGCGATTCTCCTGCCTCAGCCTCCCAAATAGCTGGGACTACAGGTGTGCACCACCACACCTGGCTAATTTTTGTATTTTTAGTAGAGATGGGGTTTCACTATGTTGGCCAGGCTGGTCTTGAACTCCTGACCTCAGGTGATCCACCCCCTCGGCCTCCCAAAGTGCTGGGATTACAGGCATGAGCCACCATGCCCAGCCTGAAATATAAAATTCTTACAATTCTTTCTTTCCACAAATTAAATATAGTGAGGTCTAACAAATACAGAGATGTCCTCTAAGAGCAGGTGGCTGGGAATAGATGACCTGAATGTTCCTTCAAGCTTATGTTCTAGGATTCTGTCCCCGGAAAATGAGTGTGGGTAGAAAAGGAGCTGAGAAAGTTCCCCGCCATGACGTGGAAGCTGCAGGAGAAGTTTGTGGGGCAGGGAGGGAGGGTGGTGAGAATCCCACTGTGACCTTCTTGAAAATGACAATCATTCAAAAACTTTTTAAAGTCTTTTTTTGACATTATTTCATTTGGTCACAAAGCAGCCCTTGATGTAACCAGTTGGCAAGAGGCAATACAAATTTAGAATTCTAGCTTTAAGAAAAATGTTATGGGGGCCCTCCTCCTGTTAATATCTCTACCACTATACATGCAGGAGGATATCAGAAGGGGCTACCAAGGAAGCTCGCTGGGGCTGAGCCCTGTCTCACACATCTTGTGTTCCCAGCCTGTAATGCGCACTCTGGGCTGTGGAAGTAAACTGCTCAGAGCTCAGAAATGGCCATATCTGATGGTCTCCTTTTTGTAGCCCTGATCAATTCAGGAATAACCTTATGTGACCACAGAAGGAAATACATTTTCTAATAATCCAACATATGTATCCCAACGTTTGTGCCTATAAGTCCCATCTGCAGTTTGAAAAGCACAGGCTAAGCTCTATCTATGTCTAAGAATGTCCACTTTGTGAGTGAGAGCGTGATTGTGCTTTATGGGTGGGTGGTTTGAGCTTTGTCCCTTCTCTAACATCCCCCTTGGTCACCTCAGTGCTAGGTATATGCAGAACGCCAGCTCAGTGCCTGGCATGCTGCAATGGCTAATGAAGGCAATGATCCTTTTAAAACTCAGCTAAAATATATATTCAGCATAGTTTTAAACATTTACAATGTTTTAAATGTAATCATATTGATGAAATTTTGGATTTTTTTATGAATCCAGTTAGATTCCTTTTTGTAGAATCCAATTTGATTATTGGGAACAAAAACTGCGGTTTGTTTCTCAAAGTACTCATATCAGTTACTAGAAGGGAAATTGAAGGACCAAGAAGCCCAATCTTGAAAATGTGTTGTGCGTTTCGACTTTAATGGCAATGTTCTCAATGGAAGGTTATAAATCATCCCAACCTTTTCTTTCAGAGCAGCTTTTCTGTTGCAGGGGACCATGTTTAACGTCCCTTTGAAGTCCCATTATCTCCATGTTTCCTCTTATCTCTTGGTAAACAGCCTGTACCTTAGTTCTGGTCCCTATCACTTTGTCCCTGAAATGAGACTGTGGGTGGCTGGTTTCCCCATCGCTGGTCTGTTCCCCTTAATCCCAGAGGCTTCAGGGGAATTTTCTTAAGTACAGCTTTCCTCATGTTTCCCTGGGACTTGAAAATCTCTTTTGCCTGCCTGTTACCTACAGAATTAGGTTCAAATGTTTCCCGTTTGATCTAACTCTAGCTTTCCCTTCCACTCTCACACTCTTCATGGATCCTGTCCTCTGGCCCAGGCCTCCCAGCCAGGAAGGTACCTCTCATGAGGCCTTTTGGGATGCAAAAAAAGGGAATATTTTGGTTTGATTTTTGGTTGCTGGACCTTCTGTTCAGGCAACCATTCTTCGGTTTCCAACTTTCCCAAGAAAATGCCAACCCTGCCTCCATCTTGGCAGGTGTGTCTACCAGCCACACAAATTAGCTACAATCCTGTGCCTCTCAGAGAGAATATATTAAAATTCACTGCCACTCAATACTTAAGAATTGTCAAAACTAGATGAAGATAAATTGTCTTAGTTCAGACTGCTGCATCAACTATACCATAGACTGGGCGGCTTAGACAACAAACATTTATTTCTCACAGTTCTGGAGGCTGGGAAGCCCAAGATCAGGTGCCAGCAGATCTAGTGTCTGGTGAGGGCCCATTTCCTGGTCTGCAGACAGCCATCTTTCTGCAGTGTCCTCACATAACAGAGAGAGAGCAAGTTCTCTCATGTCTGTTCTCCTGAGGGCACTACTCTCATTCATGAGGGCCGCACCCTCATAACCCAATCACCTCCCAAAGGCCCCAACTTCTTGTTTCTTTGTTTGTTTGTTTTTGGGACGGATTCTCGCTCTGTCACCAGGCTGGAGGGCAGCGGCACGATCTCGGCTCATTGCAACCTCCGCCTCCCGGGTTCAAGCAATTCTCCTGCCTCAGCCCCCCAAGAAGCTGATACTACAGGTGCACGCCACCACGCCCGGCTAATTTTTGTATTTTTAGTAGAGATGGAGTTTCACCATGTTGGCCAGGATGGTCTCGATCTCTTGACCTCATGATCCACCTGCCTCAGCCTCCCAAAGTGCTGGGATTACAGGTGTGAGCCACTGCGCCCAGCCAGCCCCACCTTCTAATACCATCACCTTGGAGGATAGGGTTTCAATACATTAATTTGGGTGAGACACAAACATTCAGTCCATTGCAGAAATTATACATCTCAAAGATTTCCTGAAAGGTATCCAGTTCTCCCAGTCCTCAAGAGTTTCTAGAATCTACTCTTGGATGATGCAAGGCCTCTGGAGAGCCCCATATGTAAGGCTGACTTGTTTTGACTACCTATAGAAATACTTTTGCTTTATTGCACTTCAACCATATTCTAGCGTCCTGCACCGTGAAATATTAAAACAGCCCAGCAAACCTTGTGCTTGCACTTACTGTGCAATGTTATTAAGGATGTTGTTCACCATATTGCACAATGTTCTCTTTATGAGGATCCTGGGGATATCATCTCTCTGGTGTCTTTGCCAGAAATAGCTATGATCCTTCCAAGGAATTAGTTTGTTTTTGCCTTAAAGACACAAGAAACCATTTATGTTTTCTTTCTACATTGGCTTCTGGAAAGCCCGGAGTGAAATCTGTGGATCACTTTTAGTAAATGTACTGGGTATCCTAGAATGCAATTAGGACCCTTGACATTGTTTCTGTGTTCGTATTTTTCTTACCTCTCATTTGCACTTAAATTTCTTCATTTGCTTTCATACTATGTATACCTTTTAGATTAAGTTTATTCCTTCTTGAAATTAGGTGGGAATAAATAAGTCTGGCTGGGCTTGGCATTGGTAGGTGTGACAAAGGTGTGACAGTGCAAACACAGCCACAATTAAAGGTGCCAAGAGTCAGTTTCAATGGAAATACCAGACAGAGACAGCCTTGCCAGCTTGACATTCATCTCTGCCGGGGCTTCGAAAGGTCACACTGTGTGGGCGGGTTGACCTTCAGCATTTCCTTTGGAGGGAATATGCTTTGAACCTTCTGAGTCTTCCTGAGAATATGGGCCTTGATTTACATTTGGACAACGCAATTAGTGCATTTTCCAAAATTACTGGGTTTTATTATTTTCATATTCTTTTTTAATATGATCCTGAGTGTGACTCTTTCACTCCTAAGAGCAGATTACCCAAGACTCACCTGAACTAAGCTTTTCAACTGTTGGCAGCTACGATGTATCTGTCAAGTCTAAGCCATCCTTCATGGCAAACTGTTTCCTCAACTGCCCTTTCACCAGTTTAGAGATACCCGTGTGTTCCTCATAGTCTACTGTGCTATTTCACTCAGATGGTCAGAAATTCAAATTCGCCATCTTCTCACATACACAGACACACACATGTGCATGGATACACAGATCACAGACTCACACACATACTCATGCAATCAGCCCTCCCAGTTTAATGAAAAGGGAAAAAAAAAAAAGCCCTGGCTTTCAGCTCAATGTGATAAATGGTAGAACTGGATAGAAGAATAAGGAAGGGGAAAATTGGAATGAAACTCACATTTTTGAGGTCTGCTGTTTAACCAGTTTTGCTAATTTCTTCAAGTGAAAATCCTTCTTTATGCTTTTTCTTTGTGTGATATATTTCTGAAAACTGTCGGCTGGGTGCGGTGGCTCACACCTGTAATCCCAGCACTTTGGGAGGCCGAGGTGGGTGGATCACCTGAGATTGGGAGTTTGAGACCAGCATGACCAACAGGGAGAAACCCCTGTCTCTACTAAAAATACAAAATTAGCCAGGTGTGGTGGCGCGTGCCTGCAATCCCAGCTACTTGGGAGGCTGAGGCAGGAAAATCGCTTGAACCCGGGAGGCGGAGGTTGTGGTAAGCCAAGATCGCGCCATTGCACTCCAGCCTGGGCAACAAGAGTGAAACTCTATCTCAAAAAAAAGAAAGAAAGAAAGAAAGAAAGAAAACTGTCTTATTTCCTCCATTGGAAGAGAATTTCTTCCTAAATTATATTATTAATGTACAGCAAGCCAGTGTTAATGTGTCACTGTGGCAGGCTGAGACCCCACCCCCACTGGAGCCTAGGGTTTGCAATCCAAGGGTCCCAGTGTGCAGAGCAGTCAGGTTATGGTGGTCATTACTCTCTGGATGCCTCACTGTTTATAGTCCAGTATGCATTTCTATACATCTTCACCAGAGGGAAGAAAAGTTGTATATTGGAGAATGAGTTAAGAGACCCTTGAAATGTTTAAAAAAAAAAAAAAAAAAGAATGCTTTCAGCCAAGAGCCAAAGCAAGGAGGTCTGGCAGAAAGACAAATGGAATCCGAAGATTTGGGATCAGGCTTTAACTGTCTCCCTTTTTATGAATGCAGCCGGCTGGGCTTTTCCCCTTCCTGACCTGGACTCCTATTTCATAGACTGTTATCCTAATAGCTCTGAATGTGCATTACGATTTGAAGGTTGTAGTTTTCAATCTCTGGCATATTATGGTCATCTCACTCCTGGGTTCTATATAGAGGCTTGGTCTAAACATAGCCTTTCTTTATCTGCCACCATATGTAAGGTAATACAATATACTGCTATGGAGTTCCTCAATTGGTGCCTGTTCAGACAGAGATCTGGATAAGAACTGTTTTATTTGTCCATTCAATCAATGCATCAACAACTTTGTTAGTGCCTACTAATTACCAGACACTGTGAATAATGATATGAGATCCCAGAAAAAGTGAATAATGAATAGGGGTGGGAGTGGGTGAAGCGAAATGTTTTGTGTTTTAATTAAGGCTCCAAAGACATGTAGAAAGATTCAAAGACATTCTTTTGGCCATGAGTGAATAACCAGTACTGAAATATTCTTACTATCATAAACAATTATAAAACTGAAAAATTACATTAATCAATACTTTTCAGATATTGGACAACAGGCAGTGCAGGGCCCTTATCATTGAGAGAAAGGAAATACACAAAATGAGCTTCATTACTGCCTCCACTTTCTGCCCAGAGGTGCTTTCTTGTTTACAGTATAGGAAGGTGGAGCCCAAACAAAGTACTGTGGTCTTATTGAACTAGGGGGATAGAATCCGAGTCCTGGGCTGCTGAAGTATGTGGACTTTGTAGGTCAGAGTACCAGACAGGAGTGAATTGCAAAGAGGAGCTGCAGAAATCTGCATGGAGATCCCCTTTCGTGATTAGATGGATACTAACCTGCTCTTGCATAGGCATAGCCTGACAGAGAATGGTAACTGGAATGACATGATATAAATAAAGACTATGTAGGCTACGCAGTGCTGAGAAATGTAGAAGCTCCAAATAGCCAGTGAGGAGACCTTGCTGAACATCTTGGGAATTTAGTTGAGACCCCCAAAAGACCAGGCTTTAGGAGTAGAGATATTATCCCCCTGGAATATGGACTACTCTGGACCTTCCCAGCCAAAGATTTAAAACAAGCTTTAAAAGGATCAAGCTGACAACCTGATGGGCAGATAAATTAACTTCCTGACAGAACATGGCTCTTTTAAAAAGGAAGACAAAAAGTCCACACTGCCAGGACTATAATATCAATGATATCTAGCATATAACAAGAGTTTCTAGATATGCAGAGAAGCAGAAAAAAGTGACTCTTAACCAGAAAAATGAAACTATAAATACAAACACACTCAAAGATTTTATAGTTAATAGAAAAAAGTTTCCACCAGGTAATACTATGTTTAGGATTTCAAAGGAAAAATGATCATAATGAATGAACATATGGAGAATATTAATAGAGAGGAAAAGTACACCAAAAACTTAAAATTCTAGAACTGAAAAAAATACAATGTCTGAAATGAAAATTCAGTGAGTGGGCTTAACAACAACAACAACAGAAAAGATCCATGAACTCAAGGCTGTAGAGACTATCCAGTCTGATGCAAATAATGAAAAGACTAAAGAAAACTTACAGAGACCCAATGTCTTGTGAAACAATATCAAGTATTTTAACATATGTGTAATTCAAGTCCTAAATGGAGAAGTGTGAAATAGGGGTGGAAAAGCAACTGAAGACATATTATCCAGATTTTTTTTAACTGATGAAAAATATCGATCCACAGATCCCAGGCCCTCAACACATCCCAAGCAAGACAAACACAAAGAAAACCAAACCTAAATGTGTAATAATCAAATTTCTGAAAATTAAAGGTAAAGAAAAATTATAAGCACATGTGAGATTTGTAATCGTCATCTTACCAAGAGCATGAGAGAGTTTAAAAACACATTTGCATTATATAGAGAGAACCAACAGTGTGAATTATCTCTGACTTATCAAAAGAAATCATACAAGCCAGAAAACAATGGAATAATATTTTTAAGTGCATAAAGAAAAATCAAAAACAAAAACTATCAACTCATAATTCTACATCTAGGAAAAATATTCTTCAAGAATAAAGTCAAAATTAAGATATATTTTCAGATTAAAAAAGCTAAGATAATCACCAACTGACCTGCACTATAAGAAACTTTAAAAGGCATTCTTCAGGCTAAAAAACAATATTAGATGAAAAATCGACTCTACACAAAAGAATGAAGATTGTGAGAAATGGCAAATATGTGAGCAAAGATTTTTTTCTTTTTAAAATCTTTTAGAATTGATTGTTTAAGCAAAAAATTATAAGAATGTATATTTGGGTTTAAATTACATATTGAAGTAAAACGTTTGACAACAATAATACAAATAACATGAGAGGATAAATATTCCATTGTAATGTCTTATATCATTGGAGGACTCATATGAAATTGATTCATAGTAGATTGTGATAAGATAAAGCACACAGATTATAACCCTTAGAGAAACTGAAAAAATAAAAGAGGTATGGCTAAAAAGCTGATTGAGAATAAAAAATAAAATACCAAAAGTTGCTCAATTAAAAAATAATGACTGGGCCAGGCACGGTGGCTCACACCTGTAACCCCAGCACTTTGGGAGGCCAAGGTGGGTGGATCACAAGGTCAGGAGTTCAAGACCAGCCTGGCCAATATGGTGAAACCCCATCTCTACTAAAAATATGAAAAATTAGCGGGACCTGGTGGCAGGCACCTGTAATCCCAGCTACTCAGGAGGCTGAGGCAGGAGAATGGCTTGAACCCGGGAAGCAGAGGTTGCAGTGAGCTGAGATCACACCATTGCACTCCAGCATGGGCGACAGAGTGAGACTCCATCTCAAAAAAAAAAAAAAAAAGGACTGGAAAGAATACAAATTTAAAAAGTTGGATAAATAAAAACAAATAGGAAAATAGTAGACTTTCACCCAGTCCTATAAATAACCACATTACATGTAAATGGATTAATCACTATAATTAAAAATTGGAGATCATCAGACTAGATAAAAAAGCAAGTCCTAACTACATGCTGTTTACAAGAGATGTTTTAACTATAAAGATCTGGAGAGTCTTAGGAACCCTCACACCTATTTGTTTTGTGCTATTTAAAAATAAAAAGATAGAAAGTTGCATTCCTTACAAACACTAATTATAGGAAACCTGGATTAGCTTTATTAATATCAGACTTCAAGATGAGGTGTATCACCACACTAAAGAAGTATATTTCATAATAATCAAAGAGTTAATTCATCAAGAAGACATAACAGTCCTAAATGTGCATACACCTGATAACAGAACTATAAGAAGCAAAAACTGACTGAATTAAAAGTAAAAACAGAAAAATCTACAATTATAGTTGAACACATTAACACTATAGCTTCAATAAGTGATAGAAAATTCACACAAAAATATTAGTATCTAGCATATTTGAATGATACTGTCAACCATTTTAAACTAATTGACATTTACAGAACACTTCATGTAGCAACAGCAGAATACAGATGTTTTCAAGAGCATTTGAAACAGTCACCGAAATACACCATGTGCTAAGCCATCAAATAGCTCTCAATAAATTTCAAGAGACTGAAATAATAAGTGTTCATTCTCCAGTAACACTGGAATTAAACTCGAAACTTACAAAAATGTACATCATAAAAATTCCCAAATATTTGGAAAATAAGCAACACACTTCTAAACTCAGGAGTCAAGAAAGGAATAACTAAGTTAATCACAAAATAACTGAACTGAATGAAAACAAAACGCAGCATATAAAAAATGTGTGGGATGCAACTAAAGCAATGCATAGAGAGAAATGTGCAGCTGTAAAAGTTTATATTAGCAAAGAAGAAAGGTTTAAAATCGAGATGTAAGCCAGCGTTTGGCAAACTAGGGTTCATGAGCTTAGAATGGCTTTTACATTTTTAAAAGGAAGAGGGGAAGGGGAAGAGAAAGAGAAGCAGGAGGAGGAAGAGAGGCAGCTGCAACAGAGACCACATGTGGCCCACAATGCTTAAAATATTTACTCTCTGGCCCTTTACAGAAAAACGTTAGTGACCCTTGACGTAAGTTTTCACCTCGTACTAGAAAAAACTGATGAATATAAATCCAAAGCAAGTAAAAGGAAGAAAATTTTAGAGATAAGAGTTGGATGTCTATGGTTTCTCTAGAAAATAGAGAAACATTGGAGGAAAAATAATGAAACTAAGTGATGCTTCTTTGGAAAAATCAAGGATGCCAATTTTCACCACTTCTGCTCAGCAGCGTACAGGAGATCCTAGCCTGTGCAATAAGGTGCCAAGAAAGATAATAAAGTCAAAAAGATTTTTTAAACTTCCAGAAATTGTTGCCTACATTCACCGTCTCTGCTTTTTCCCCTCCCGTTATTTCTTGAATTCACGCTCATGAGACTACCCCTCCCCCACCATTCCACCACAACCCGTCTTGCAAAGATCAACATACACCTCCATATTGCCAAATCTAACAGTTAATTCTTCATGTAATTTGACCTGTAAGCATCATTTGATGTAACTGATGTTCCCTCTTCCTTTAAACTCTTTTTTCACTTGTCTTTTGGGACTTGGTTTTCTTTCTAACTCACTTGCCATTTCTGCTCTATCACTTTATTGGGATCTCTTCACCTGTCCAACCTTTAAATGTCGGAATGCTCAGAGTTTACTTCTCAGACCTCTTCTCCATACTCTCTGTACACTCTCTTATTAGCATATAGGTGATTTGAAATAGCCCCTACGTGCTAATAACTCTCCTAGATTTTATAAATCTCCAGCCAGGGCTTGTCCCCAGAGCTTCAGATTCCTTAATCCAGCTGCCTCCCTGACATCTCCATTTTGATATATTAGGCACTTAAAACTTAACATATGTAAAAGTAAATCCCTGATCTTCCCTTCACTCCTACTCAAAGGCTGGTCCTCCTGCAATCTTCCTCTCCTCTGTAAATAGTAATTTCATTCTTCATCCTGCTCAGGACAGAAACCTTAGCATCATTCTTTTCTCATCTTTTCAATACCCCATGTTGAAATTCATCAACAATTCTCATCAGACTGCTTTCAAATGTATCCAGAATCTAATCATTTCTCACCACTTCCTCCAGCCACCCAGGACCAAGTCATCATTCTCTTGCATCTGGGTTCACTAACAGCTTCACAAGTGATGCCCTGGCTCCCACTCTTGTTCCCTCGACAGTCCTTTCTCTGGGCAGCAAGCCAGAGTGGTCCTCCTAAGACATAAGTCAGACCACGTTTCTTTTAAGCTAAAGCCATCCAACCGTTCCTCTAACTCATTCTAAGTTGGATCTGCCCCTGGCTACCTCTCTGCTTCATCTACTACTTTCCCACTTGTGCCCTCCACTATAGACTTTCGTGCTGCTCTAGGAACATATAATAAGTATGTTCCCACCTCAAGGCCTTGGACGTAGTCATCTGTCTGCCTGGAAAACCCTTCTCTCAGTTATCTGCGCTGAGTTCCCCCCGACCTCCTTCAGGTCTCTACTCAGACATCCCAGGGAGACCTTCTCCGATCCCCTATTTAAAATAGCTATTCCCACCCTGTCATTCCAGACCTTTTTTGCTTTATTATTATTTTTTTGTGTCTGTCTTCTTTAACCTGAACTGATAAGCTATACAAGGACAGGGATTTTATATATTTGTTTCATTGCTGTATTCACAGTGCATTGGATGCACTCAATATTTGGTGAGTAAAGTAAGGTATTCACTAGCTCATCAGTTTGTTTATTTATTTGTTTGTGTGTTTACTGAATTTCTACCTGCCAGGCACTGCCCTTAGGGAGCTCACAATCTAGTAAAAATAATAGGAACAACTACCATTTTTGCGTGGTGACTAATCACTTTGCATATGCCATTTTATTTCATCCTTACAATAGCCTGTTTTACAGATGAGGAAACAAGCCTGGACCAGTTAAATAAATGGACTAAAGTCAAGTAGCTAGTATGTACTACCTTTTTCAAAACCTGTTTGTCAACTACTGCCTCCCACTGAAATGATGTTCTTCTGTGTTGACATTTAGCTCATATCTCCATAAAAATTTTTAAATCGTTTAAATATATTTTCTACAGAGACTCAGACTGAATGTGAGTGAATAAAAGAGTTCATGATTATGAGAATTGTGACTTCTTTGGGGGACTTATTTGAGGACAAACAAATTTCCTGATTCCTCGACTCCCTTCAGCCTCTTCCCCTCTGATGAAGGCATGGGGAAATCCGTTGAAGCAAACATTCTAGCATGCCTTCTCTTCAAACTTCCTTCATGTTTGTGCTCGGCCAGGAACCTACTGCCAGCAGAGGGAGGTAGAAGCCATCATGGAGGGCGACGAGGAGGACAGAGGCTGCTGCTGCTGCAAACCAGGCCACTTGCCTCACCTGCTGTCCTGCAACGCTGCCTTTCACCTCCGCTGGCTCACCTGGGAAATCACGCAGACCCAGTACATCCTGGAGGGCTACAGCATCCTGGACAACAACGCGGCCACCATGCTGCAGGTGTTTGACCTCCGAAGGATCCTCATCCGCTACTACATCAAGGTATTGCTCTGTTTCCCAAACACCTAAGGCAGAAATGCTAGGATGGCACAGGAAGCTCCGAAAGAGCTCTGTCGAAAGCTAAATTTTGAAGCCTGTCATCCTCAGCTTCCGAATTGGAAACCCAGCCATCTGGGGAACCATTGCTTTTGGAAAAATCCTAGAGGGCTTTGATTTAACCTGAGATTTGTGCCCTGGGTCATATCCTAAGCTTAGGCACCAATAAGCAGTTTGTTTTCTTATCTAGGTCTTCTTTGTCTCTTCTACCACAGCATTATTTGCTTGTCCTGATGATGAGGACAAATTTAAATACCCTATAAATATTTCTAAGCCTCCATGTTTGAGTTATAAGGGTCAAATTAGATGCTCTGCACAGTGTCCACTTTAGAATCAGAATTATATTTTAAGCTCATAAGGAGAACTCAAAATGTAGCTAAACCATCCAGTCAGAATTGGCTGTGACAGCCTTTCCCCCTAACTCACATGGAGACTAATAACATATTTTTTCAGTTGCTCAGTGCCTACATCTGCCCAATTGTATTCAACCTCAGAAATCATGGCAGTTTGGAGTAAGTCTCCTGGAAAACAAGTGTGGCACCTGACTGAGGATGTGTAGTGTTCATCCGGGCTGAGGTGTTTTCTGAAGGGGAAGGGGCAGGCGAGAGCCGTGTGGCAGAGGAAATCTTCGCTGTGGGTCCTATTCTGGGAGTATGGGGGGACTTGGCATGGTGGAAGTCCTGGATGGACCACAGGAACGTCACCTCTTAATGCTGTTCAAAAAGAGGAAGCTCATCCGTCGGAGGCCACAAGGCCCTCTGCCAGCGTGCCGAGACAGGTGGTCCAGCAGAAATAAGAAACACAGAATGAAAAGATAACTTGGCACCTAAAGTTTTAACCAGCTAACAAACAAATGGCATTGAGAAATTTGGAATAAATCCAGACATGGTGGTTCACGCCTATAATCCCAGAGCTTTGGGAGGCCAAGGCAGGAGGATTGTTTGAGCCCAGAAGTTCAAGACCAGCCTAGGCAACATAGCAAGACCCCCCATCTCTACAAAAAAATTGAAAAATTAGCTAGATATGGGGTTCATACCTGTGGTTCCAGCTTCTCAGGAGGCTGAGGCAGGAGATTTGCCTGAGCCCAGGAGTTTGAGGCTGCAGTGAGCTGTGATTGCACCACTGCACTCCAGCCTGGGTAATGGGGATTCCCGAAATCCACAATAGCTGCTGAAGCTACATGGAAGCAGAAGATAGGCTGTGAAAGTCAGAAGGATAAATAGCTCTTAGATCTCATCCCCTAGGTGATTGCTACACAAAATGTTTGCAAAACCCTTTTCTGTGGCAGCATGTTTACAACAGATTTAGCCGTTTGTGCTCACCGTCTTTGTGTGTGCTGGAGATGCAAAACATTATATTCAAATTTCATACAAAACTATACATGTTTTGTCCAACCTAATGTAAATGGGGGAAGATTTGGGAAGCATACCAGGGAGTTATGCCTATCTTCTCTTTCTAGACTCTAAGCAAATTCAATATACCAGTTGTGTTAGATTTGGCAGTGAGCCATGAAATAAGAGTGGCATGCATGTTAGAAGCTTATTTCTCTTGGACTTTGATGATGGTTGGTATGGTAGCTTCCAAAATTTGAGTTCCACAATTTAAGTTACAGGCTTAAAGGGATAGAGGAAAGGACACAGAAAATGAAGACCAAGGGCATGCATCAGCAGTCTGTTAATGAGGTTCTAGGAAGCTGCCACAATATCCTCCTGTTGTATCCCATCAGCCGGAACATTGTCACATGCCACCTGGAAGAGGGTCTGGAAAGTGTACTTTGGGCAGCCATGAGCCCAGAATGAAATCGTGTGTTCACAGAAGAAGGAGAAAACAGATGATAAATGGTAACTAGCCATCTCTGTTATCTCCCTCAACAAGGAGAGTGTCCCTTGAGTATTTCCTTTAGTTTTCAGGAGGCAGGACAGGGTGGTTGCAGGAACAGCTAGATCCAGGGGCTGACTGAGCAAGAGGACTCACAGGCCCGTGAAGCAAGTGGCTGGAAGGGGGCAGTGAGGACCAGCAGTGTGGGTCTAGACAGCCACGTAGATAAGCCCTGGAGTTGACATCTTCCTGTTGCCTCAAGAATTAGGCTAGACTCATCCCGGCGCAGTGGCTCAAGCCTGTAATCCCAGCACTTTGGGAGACCGAGGCAGGCAGATCACTTGAGGTCGGGAGTTCAAGACCAGCCTGACCAACATGGAGAAACCCCATCTCTACTAAAAATACAAAATTAACTGGATGTGGTGGCACAAGCCTGTAATCCCAGCTATTCGGGAGGCTGAGGCAGGAGAATCACTTGAACCAGGGAGGCGGAAGTTGCAGTGAGCCAAGATCGCACCACTGCACTCCAGCCTGGGCAACAGAGCGAGACTCTGTCTCAAAAAAAAAAAAAAAAAAAAGAAAGAAAAAGAAAGAATTAGGCTAGACTCTTTCATCTGCTACCCAGAGACCTCCAGTATTGCCACTGGCTGTGTTTCCCACTCCCCCCCCATCTCTCACTGTTTTGTGTACACACTGTGCACACACTACCTGTGCTCCCTGCCCCACATGCTTGCACACTGCTTGCTCCTCCTGCAGGGACTCTCCTCTCCCTTCCACATGCCCGCAGCTTCTCTTCCAACCTCAGTCTCAACAGCTCTTCCTCACCAGCTGACAGCCCGGGGCCATGCCCAGCATTCCTCTCCCCTTGCTCTGCAAACTTTCCTACTTCACTCTATGGCAGTTCCCTAAACAGAGAAGCCACAACTGAGTCCTCTTTGGGTCCTCAGAGCTCTGCTTGATGACCTGTTTATTGCATGGCCCAATTTGTTTTTTTGTACTGAATGAACAAAGGTTCTGGGGAACATGGATTTGGAGTCTGGGCCATACAGTCTGGACAGAAGAGATCCTAATTCAGTCAAGGGTCTGGTGGCCTGCTGCAGGCACGAGTAGTGGGACTGGGGTTCAATACTGAGCCACATCCCTGCCTTTCCATGAGCCAGACACGTGGACAGGCCCAACTCGTCACCATGGGGCCAGCAGATCACCGTGAGTGGGAGAGAAGGGAGGAGGGATGAGAGTGAGATGCCCTGTCTGGGTCCATCCTCCCTGGCCTAACCCTGTTGGCTTTTACAGAGGCCTTGGAGGTTCCATGATTGGACGAGCTTTTTGATGCCTTCTTTCCTTGGACTGGTAGTTGATACTCACCTTTCTTTTTTCCTAACTGCTGGAAATGTGCCTCCCAGTCCCCTAGATGATTTCTAAGATGACAATTTGCCATTTGACAAATCCAGGATCATGTGCAAATGGAAAAGGGCTCAGGAAGGCTCCCCCAGAACCTGCCGGGTAATAGCTGGCTTGTGAGGAAACCATGCCCTCCACTCTGTTTTTTAAGAAAGGAGAGTGAAGGCAAAATGGGAGTTGCAGGTGGGCTAGGAGAGGCAGGCAGTGCATGGGTGTGCTACCTAGCATGGCGCCTCTCACAAGCCAGAGCCAGGGCAAACCTGGAGCAGACTCCCCTCCTCCCCTGCAAGCTAGTTAACTACACATTCCCATGTCCTACCCACACATTCGAATTCCATGGGCCTGGGGTGGGACCCAAGGACTTTTTTTTCTTTTTTTGAGAAAGAGTCTCACTCTGTTGCCCAGGCTGGAGTGCAGTGGTGTGATCTGGGCTCACTGCAACCTCCACCTCCCGGGACCCAAGGACTTATATTGTTTAATCAGTTTCCTAAGTGATTTGATATACAAGTAGGCTTTGGAGCTACTACAGACGTAATTGTGCCCCACAGAAACAAGAATGTTCTTAACTCCCAAGTCAGCACTCAGGATGGGGCTGAGATTTTTGGGCAGATGCCCAAAAACACGGTGCCCCCGTGTTTAATTCACATTGGTACTGCCAGGCCTATCCTGCGAGGTTGCCTCCAAATACAGCACTCAGTGCTTTTCTGCCCTTCAGCAAGGGGTGGCTTGGAACCTGCACTCATTCCCCAGTGCAGCTAGTTAAGGGAAATTTCAGGAGGGCTAACTGCCTATTAGAACAGAAGAAACAGCATTTTGGGGTTAAAAAAAAAGATGATTTTCTTCTTTGGCATGGTTGCTAGGTGAACAAAGTTGCCTTTGTAGCTCTGAATGACTTAAAGTTTCAAGAGTTTGATTTCATTCTGTTTATTATTTTCTTACTGGAAAGGCAAATTGAAAAGGAAGACAAATTTGAAATCATTCCTTTACTACAAAAGGAATTTTTTGAAATCTCCTAATAAACTGGGTCAGTTCCCCCACCCTGTATGAATATATTTGAAATCATTTCCTTCCTGGCGACTTGAGGTTTTCCCTCGTGTCTCCTCCATCTCTCTTCAGATTATTAGTGTTTAAAACCCGCTTAGCAGTCAAGGAATCTGCTGCTTTCTGTGTGGGCCTGGCTCTCCTGCTGTCATTGTTTCTGGGCAGCTCTTTTAGAAAGGAGACACGCTTATCACTGGCCTTGCAGAATGAGGCGCGAACAACCCGACAGGTTGGCCTGCCTGCCAGGCCCGCCTTCCTAGAATGAGTTGTCTGAAAGAATATGCTGATCTACAGTTAAAATGAGGAACCAGGAGAATCCCTGCTGGAGGAGCCAGATATTGTGAATTTATTCAGGAGGGGTCCTGCTTTCAGCACAGTCTAGGTTTACCCCATCAATTCATTGTCACTGCCCCGATTTATGTTTTACTTAGTGTTGTATCCACCTCATCCGGACAGATTCTGAAGGATTTTACAGTGTTCATTGACTGTGTCTCCGTGACAGAAGTTCTGCCTAGATTAAATGGAGATAGGGTATGACTTGCAAGCATTTGGGGTGGTTCTGTTTTCTCCCAGTGAGAAGTGTCGGTGCTGTGATTTAGAAAACTGAGCATCTAGCTGGGTTCTGTTCTGAAGTCAGCACTGCAGCGTTTTGCCAGACGGAGAGGAGGAAGTGTTAACCTCTGGGATTCAAAGTCCTCATTGACTATTCTGACTTCATCGGTTGTGGGGTTGTTTTAATTCCTCCCTAGCAATGAATGAAAACGTAAACTTTTGTCTTTCAGTCTTTGTTTGTTATTCCTATCTGGTATGTGATTAGGCCATGTTGCAGAAAAACTAGACCAGCTGTTCACTAGAGCTAGATGTTTAGAGAGACCAAATTTCTTTCTTCCCTTTGTAACGCTCAGCTGAGAAGCGGTGCTCGTGGACATGGGCATCGTTACTCTTTTGCTTGCAACTTTGGGCCGACGACTTAAACTGTCTTTAAATGATCCAGCCGGCAAGGAGACAAGAGAAAACCCTCCAGATTCAAAGTTTCTATTTGTGAATATCAGATGTGCACTCTGGTGACCACCACAGACACAACGGTTCTCCTGTCCCCTAATGCCATCCCTGTCCCCTCGCCCCTCTGCCTCAACCTCTCCTGGGCTGCTGCTACTGCTGCCACTGCCTGCCTCCCCTCTGAGTCCCACGCTCATCCTGCTTGCTGGGTAGGTAAGTCACAGATGTCAAAGGCATGACTGTTTTTCCACATATACACATATCAACGGGCCAGGCCATGTGCTGAGTTCCTCATATAGATTGTCTCATTCTAAACCTCAGAACAGCCGTGCAACGTGGGCATCATTAGCATGTCTTTCTTTCCCGCCTCTGCCTTCAGCTTCCTTGACCTCTTTCTCCATCACTCCCTCTCTTCCTTCCTCCTTATATCGAAGGGCTTTCCTGAGGCCAGGATGGTTATGGTGGGGTGTTACAGAGGATGGGAGAACAGGCACACTACTGAATTCTAGTTATTGTCTGCAGATTTCATTTTTCCACTTCCTCATTTTTGGGACAGGTAGACTGTGGAGCGTAATAGAAGGTGTGTCCAAAAGAAGGGAGAGCATCAGCCATGAACCACAGAGGAACCTCCCCAAAGTCCAGGCTGTCCTCAGTCCTCACAGCAGAGAGCCTAAGTCATGCATTTGCAGTTGTTTAGTGGAAATCACAGACTGTCTCTTCACCTGCTAAAGTCCTAAAAAAAAACCCTTGAAACCAGATACCCAAGTAAACTTGAGGCCTTGAGCTCTGGGTTTTATTTCCCAGACAGAGGGAGGGAAGAGCCAGAGAGGGAGGGTGGGGGCCCCCCTAGAAAAGGGTTTCTCAGCCCACTCCACTTACAAGCGTCAGTCACTGAAGACTTCGTTTCCGTCCACCCAATATTCGTTTTCTGCTTTCTCACTTAAAAAGAATATGTTTTTATAAACAGAGAAGAGCATCAATTAAGCGTTTGTTTCTAACAGGAGCACACATCCCTGCCTCCTTGCATCAAACACTGTGAGCCCTCCAGCCCCTCATGATTTCACAGTGAGATGTGCAGCCTCATTCCAGGGGTGCCCCTCAGCCTCAATAGCCTGGAGCACCACCTGCATTTTTCTGTTATAATGGAACTGCGGTGCACGCTGGCAGGGACTCCACAGCAGCACACCCTGATCCAAGCCTATCAGGCTTGGATTTTCATTTCCTCTGTCCCATTTCTATTTCTTGAGGCCAGGTGCTAGCCTTTTTGATGGAGGAATTTATTCAAAAACTACAAAATGGCTTTCCACAAAGCTGTTACTCATAATAATCAAGCCCAAGGGAGGCATTTTCCCCAAGTGGGACTCATAAGTACAGTGTCTGATTAAGAAGGAAACATGGGTTACTTGTGAATGTATCACAGATGTCCACTGTCTGGGCACTCAGGATTAAGTGTGTGAAGATTACAACAATTTCACATTGTCAATGCTTTCCATAAGAACTGTGTTGTTTTGGCTGGGCACAGTGGATCACCCCTGTAATCCTCGCACTTTGGGAGGCTGAGGCAAGAGGATGCTTGAGCCCAGGAGTTCAAGACCAGACTGGGCAACAAGATCCTGTCTCTACAAAAAAAAAAAACTAAAATATTAGCCAGAAATGGTGGCTTGCACCTGTAGCCCTAGTTACTCTAGAGGCTGAGGCAGGAGGATCGCTTGAGCCCAGGAGTTCAAGGCTTCAGTGAGCCATGACTGTGCCACTGCACTTCAGCCTGGGAATCAGAGAGAGACACTGCTGTCTCAAAAAACAAACAAACAAACAAACTGAAAACCCTGTTATTTTAGTTCATTAAATACTCATTGGCTAGGTCTCTGGAGGCAGGTCTACCCCAATCTCTTTCAGCTGAATCAACCTAGCCTAGGAACCACCAAAGCCTACAGCAACCCCGTCAGAGGGTGCTTTTGTGTGCTTTTCTCAGAAAGGATGGGGCTGACTGTCATTCTTCCTCATCATACAAATTATGTTCCATTACATTCTGTTAGCATTACGTTCTTCTCACTTTCCTCTTCCCTAAGATAACCCTTAAGAGAGGACATTTTAGAAATGTCTCAGATGAGTTCTGTGCATTACACCCAGCAGAAAATACAAGTGATACTATCTGTAGGGATTTCATGTCTCTTACTTTCCTGAGGTTGAAGATAACCCTTAAGAGAGGACGTTTTAGGCCAGGCATGGTGGCTCATGCCTGTAATCCCAGCACTTTGGGAGGCCAAGGCGGGCGGATCACGAGGTCAGGAGATCGAGACCATCCTGGCTAACATGGTGAAACCCCGTCTCCACTAAAATAGAAAAAATTAGCTGGGCGTGGTGGCGGGCGCCTGTAGTCCCAGCTACTTGGGAGGCTGAGGCAGGAGAATGGCGTGAACCTGGGAGGCGGAGCTTGCAGTGAGCCGAGATCGCACCGCTGCACTCCAGCCTGGGTGACAGAGCAAGACTCCGTCTCAAAAAAAAAAAAAAAAAAAAAGGACATTTTAGAATGTCTCAAATGAGTTCTGTGCATTACACCCAGCAGAACATACAAATGATACCACATGTAGGGATTTCATGCCTCTTACTTTCCTGAGGTTGATTTACTTTCTAAGATTAAATTAATAAATAAAATCTTCCTGGCTTTTTCTCTGCAGAGTATAATATACTATATGGTAACGTCTCCCAAACTCCTCTCCTGGATCAAAAATGAATCACTTCTGAAGTCCCTGCAGCCCTTTGCCAAGTGGCATTACATTGAGCGTGACCTTGCAATGTTCAACATTAACATTGATGATGACTACGTCCCGTGTCTCCAGGGGATCACACGAGCTAGCTTCTGCAATGTTTATCTAGAATGGATTCAACACTGTGCACGGAAAAGACAAGAGGTAGGTCAGGGAGGTGGGGGCTGAGGCATGGAATGTAAGTTTAATAAATAAAGAACATTGTCATGTCCATCTCTTTCTTATATTCTATGGTAGACTTTTAACATAGAGGATAGAAAAAAAGCACTATTTGGACAGATGTTTATTGAAGGTAAGCAAAATTAAATAGGAGAATCAATATACCATGTCTCCAATGAAGGACACTTAAAGATATAGATCCCTTTATGCAGTGCTCAGGGCCAGCGAAGTTTTAAGCCTCTATTATAACTTAAACATTTGAAGCTTCTTTGTTTAAAATTACATTTTGGGATTTCCCTACCAAGTGTGTCTGTGCTGAAATCAGGGGGATTTACTGAACATATTGAATCATGGACATGAAAATTCTATTTAGCAATCAGATGGTCCAACTTAACTTCTGTCATCGTTATTTTGTGTGTCTGTGCTGTTATTGCGTATGTGCTGAGAACACTTCTGGAAGTGAATCCTGCCTCTTAGAAATATAATCAAGAATTATGACAGTTTACAAAAAGAGGAGAAAGGGGCAGGGGAGGAGGAGAAGGGGGAGGGAGCAAATGAAGGGAGCAGGTTTACTTTGCTTCTTAGTATTTGAAAAGCTGAGTCCATGGGTTGTTGTTGGAAAATGTGGGTACAAGTTAGAAACAACTTCCTCAGCAGCTGATGCAGTCTGTGGCATGTCCTAGAAAGAGTAAACCAAACCACGACACTAGCCAAGGTCTGTGAGTTTCTTATGGGTGATTAAAAACAGGTGGGAGAAGAAGCAGGTGGCAGAAACTGCTTTCTCCAGACCAACCACAAAGAAGGTGTGATAATAATCTTAACTCATGCCAGGCCTCTTTCAGCAGTTGAGATATTCAAAGAATTGATTGATGTTGTCGGCTGTAGCTCCATGATGGCTCTGTCCATTCCTCAGATGGTTCATGGAATTATTTTATTTTCCTTGCAAAAGATATTTTGACTTTAAATTTCCTCTGCATCTCCCCACTCTCCCTCCCTTTTTTTTTTTTAAAGCTGACTTTGGACAACTTTTTTTAAGAAACAGAGTCTCACTCTCCTTAGGCTGGAGTGCAGCAGAATGATCATAGCTTATTGCAGCCTCAAACTCCTAGGATCAAGTGATCCTCCTGTCCTAACCTCCCTAGTAGATGGGACTAGAAGCACATGCCACAATGCCTGGCTAATTTATTATATTTTTTTATTTTTTTATTTTTTTGAGACAGAGTCTTGCTCTGTTGCTCAGGCTAGAGTGCAGTGACGCAATCTCGGCTCACTGCAGCCTCTGCCCCCCGGGTTCCAGCGACTCTCCTGCCTCAGCCTCCTGGGTAGCTGGAGGTGCACACCACCATGCCTGGCTAATTTTTGTATTTTTAGTAGAGACAGGGTTTTGCCATGTTGGCCAGGCTGGTCTCAAGCTCCTGACCTCAGGTGATCTGTCCGCCTCGGCCTCCCAAAGTGCTCAGATTACAGGCGTGAGCCACCGCGCCCGGCCACCTGGCTAATTTTTTAAAAAAATTTTATGGAGATGGGGTTTTGCTATGTTGCCCAGGATGGTCTTGAACTCCTGGGCTCAAGTGATCCTCACACCTTGGCTTCCCAAATTGCTGGGATTACAGTTATGAGCCACCATGCCCGAGCTAAAAGATTCCTTTAATTTGGTTGTTGATTGTGGACTTACAGTCTAGCAGTCAACCCACAGGGCTCCTTCTTTTAGGGAGAACAGAGGACTCTCCTTCACATTGGATCCAAGTTCTTTTTCTCTCCCTGCTAGACCATGCCTCTCCTTTGCATTGGAGAGTGTTAAGGTGGGCACCCATTTGACTGTAATCACTGCCCATCTTTATGACCTGAAGTGCCATATTTCAAATCCCAGAAAAGCAGATCATCAGCCCACATTGTAGGCCCTTTTCTCTCCTAAAATAACTTTTCCACTTTTATTTTTTTTTCCGTGTCCAACCACAGGAGAAACTGCTTCAGGAAGCTGAGCATTCCCTGTCTGTGGGGTCATCTTAGAGGGGACTGGATGACCACGTGGCTGACTTACAAAGCCAATGTCACTCTACATTTATGCCTGTGTGTTGGTACATATTGGAATCTGTGTGAAAGCTGAGTTAACTTCTTGCTCTTTCAGCCTTCAACGACCCTGGACAGTGACGAGGACTCTCCCTTGGTGACTCTGTCCTTCGCCCTGTGCACCCTGGGGAGGAGAGCTCTGGGAACAGCCGCTCACAATATGGCCATCAGGTACCTGGGGGGAGAAGTTAGAATCTCTTAGGTACAGGCACCCACTTTCACATGTTTGACAGATTTTGTCAATCATTTCCTTTATTTTGAAGCTGGACTTATTATACTACTTTCAGATAGTTCTTTTCATAATAAATTATATTGGGCCTACATGAACATTTTTTTTGATCACTGCTCTTTTGGAGTATTCAATTTGGAAATATCATTCACGTGGAATAGTCAAGACCCAGGGATTCTGGATATAGGACCTTCTGTGTTACAGAAGTCCTTGCAGATTCGCTGGGAAGATTCAATGAAATCATGCCTATGAAGTGCCTAGCCCAGTACCTAACAGAGTTGCTGCTCAGTGTTAGGTCCCTTTCCCCTAATTGTCTTCATAAAAGAAAATCCTCACATCTGAGCTCTAGTCCAGACCCTACTTCACCCCGTCTCCTTGGAGCTTTGATGAATTGGATGCCCCTTCTGTTTTTCAAACCCTTTCTCTACTGGGTCTCTCCCCTCAGTGGGTAAATAGCTCACGTCTGTCTTTTTAAAGAACAGAAACAAAATCAAACTCTGCTGGCTCTTTGGCACCCTGTGTCACTCGGGTGATGTTGTCCACCAAAGAAACAGTACTCATGCCAAACTGCTCTTAAAATTTCATCAGTCAGCTTCAAATCACCCAAATCAGTGGCCATTGCACAGATGTCCCCTTTTTTAGCACTATGGGCTGTGGTGCTGAACTCTGTCTGCCCACAAAGTGGAATCACCTTGATGAGTGGTTCTCAACCCCACGTGCACGTTAAAACCTCCTGTCAGGCTTTTAAATATCCTGATTCCCAGGATATTTAATCAATTCCATCAGCACCTCTGTGGGTGGGACCACACATCCCAAGTTTCAAAAGCTCTCAGGTGATGTCAGTGGGCAGCCAAGGTTGAGAACACAAACCTAGGGAGCTTAGAGAAGAAAGGGGGCCTCTACTTAGCCTCTGCCCGTCTGGGATTGTTTCTACTTGGACTTGCTTCATTGTGTCTATATTATATTATTGATGGTGCTCTACAAAAGAGGTTCTTTTGATATTGACTTGAGTGAGTTTTGTGACGTTAGGTGGGATTGTAAGCTTGTTAAGGGCAAAACCCACCTGTCTATTTGTTTAGCAACTGTCACAGTTCTGGGCTGTCAGGTAACCAAGCCCAGGGAGCCTTGTTGACTGTGTTTCCAAATGTCCTTCTTGAAAGGGGCAGCTGTGAGTCTACACTGGTGGCAAGTTGTTGGGAGGTATCATCAAGTAAGAGTTGTGAATTGATAAAGGGTAAAGTGTGTGGCTGGCAGCGCTTTTCATTTTCCTCTGGAGGCAGTAGCCTGGAGTCACCAAGAGGGACAAGTAAGAACCAAGGGTAGTTAGGATTTGTGATATCAACTACTCTTTCAACTCCCACGTCTCAGAATTTCATGATCGTTTTTACAGGTGAGAAATACCAAAACTCTGACCCTTAAAGTCTCATGTTAATGCCTATTTTAGGCCAATCTCCTGGGGAGGAGCTGGCTGGCCTCTGGTCTCTCCCTGTCCTCTTACCTGACTCAGTCTCACACTGGACTCAGGGCATTCTCTTTGTGGCCATCTGGGACTAAGCTTGATGATTGCCGCAGGTCTAACAGATGACTCCTCTGTGGGCTTCATAAAACATTGTGATGTGGCCCCTAAGATCGGGCTCCTTATTAAACTGTAAGCAGAGAACAGTGTTTGAGAAGGGCTTCATAGGATCTTGCACTTGAAATCACAAAATGACTCTTGAGATATTCGTAGCACCTGGGAAGATGATTAAAATAAGCTCTTTTGTTGGATCAATTTGAAATGTTTTATAAACTTCAAGTTGCAAATATTATCTCAGTTCATATCTAAGGCATTTTCAAAAGCTTTTTCAGTCTTGTTCTTTGTGTAACTTGTTCAGATATTCCTGATCCAGGCGTTTCTTGTTTGGTCTGCCTTATTTCTTTTTCTTTAATTAAACACCATGCTTACCAGCTGCTTTTTTAAACTTTGTTTTGATGGAATTTCCTTTATTTCAGATAGTTTCTCATACTCAATGTCAACTCTACTTGCTGCAGACATGGTGATGAGGTAACTCTGGGGAGAATCCTCTCAGTATTCTAGGGAAACACTTGACTATTTGGGACTGGTTCACTTCACCGAGAGGTTCCACCACATAGAAAGATCCTCCAAGACGCTTTCCTTTCAGTTTTTTCACTTACAAAAGACAACTTCTTTTACATCCCACCCTAAGCCCATGGTCTGAAGTCATGAAGTTCTGACCTAGTTGGATATGCCTGGGGATTGGGGTGGAGGATGCAGTGGGAGGGGAGGTTGGAGCCTGGCAGGGCCCCACCGCTCTTCAACCAACAGCTGGGATTTCTATTGAATCTGCTAGGGTGCCATAAATAGTTTGACTTGAAAAAAATAGTCTACAGAGCTCAAATTTTACACATAATTTTTATAGATACTGTTTAGGGAAAAACTCTCAAACCATGTTTTTCCTCTCTTCTCACACAAAAACAACAGTCATCAACACAGAAGACTTCTGTGGCCCCAATATATGTGGGATTTCTTCCTGCAAGCAAGCACCACTTCTGTGGTGAACTGTCCTCCAGTTCACTTCTGACACTAACCAGAGATGGTGTCAGAACCCACAGGTTGAAGGTTGAGGCCCACAAGTCTGGGCCACCTGAACTTCTGACTGGCTTCTACATGAGGGGTCCCACAATTCCCTCTTTGGGGTCAATGAATTTGCTAGAGCAGTTCACAGAATCCAGGGAAACACGTTTACTAGTTTATTATGAAGGATATTTTAAAGGATACAAATAAACAGCCAGATGAAGAGATGCATAGGGCCAGGTCTGGAAGGGTCTCGAGCACAGGAGCTTCCATCCCTGTGAAGTTGGGGTGTGCCACTTTCCAGGCAGGTGGATGAATTCTTCTTCACCTTCCTATCTACCTGCACATGTTCAGCTCTCTAGAAGCTCCCAGAACTGTGTCCTTTGGGCTTTTTATGGAGCGTCATTGGTTGTCCATGATTAAAGCTTGGACAGCTGTGCAGAAATGTGATTGGACAAAAAGGGCATTACCTAAACCCAGCAAGGCTAGTCTGCTCAGATTCTTCTTGGCCTCTCTGTGCAGCATTCTTTTCTCCAGAACATGTGCACGTCCTGCACATGTACCACGGAACTTAAAATTAAAATTAATTTTTAAAATGGGGTTTGGTTTAGGTTTTCTATGAAACCACTGTTATGAAGGCAGGGAGTTTTCTTCTTTTCCTAGCTTGCTAAAGCTTTATCAAGAAAGGATGTTGAATTTGTATAGAATTGGGGGGCATAATTTGGGTGATATTATTCTTCTTCTTTAATATATTAATGTTGTATTACATTAGTAGATTTCCTCATGTTGAAACATGCTTACAATTCTGAAATAAGCTCTACTTGGTCATGATATATTATTGTTTTTATACAATGATGGATTCAATTTGCTAATCTTTTAGTATGATTATATTCATGTGCAAAGTAAGAATGGCTCATAATTGTGTGTTTGCATATGTGCTATATGGTTGTATAACTTTAAAATGGGGAGTATGTCCTTAGGTGTACTGTAGGAGACCCAACAAGTCATTGTTACATAGTTAGTGCTAAAGCACATCAGGTGATGGTGAACACTGACTCTCCAGGCAGGTCTTAAACATATGCTTCACTTGACCAATTTGTTGGGGGAAATGTCTTGACTTTACAAAACTGACATAGATTTGATGGATAGTCCTGAAGAAAGAAAAATATATGCATGCAAAATTAGGGAGGATGAGTACATTGAAATTCATCTTAAATGAGATGCCAAATGTAAGTGAGCAAAAGACTACCTTTATATAAATTGTCTTTAAATAAAATGTTGATATGTTATGGAGATGGAATGGGTTCATATGGATGTGACAAGAAGACACTTATATTTTTTAGATTTAAGGTTTGGGACATACCTTCTTGGAAAACTGTGTCTCCCACTGAAGAAAGCCATCTAGATATAATGGGATGTTTTAGTAGGAAGTCAAAATAGTTTCACTGACCACAGAGTATGAGATGGTTTGATTACTGTCTTCAAATACATGAAAGGTGATGAGGTGGATTCTAGCTGATGTTCCATCCTTCGAGGTTAGGAGAAGATGGCTGCATTTTATAGAAGCAACAGGTTTGTTTGTAAAAGAAAATTTACTGACTCAGAGTAGAGTAAGCTTCCAAGAGGATAGAAAATTTAAAGCAAATTTGATCTTGAAAAGTGATAGGGAGACAAGCCAGACTGAAGTGTGCTCTGCCAAGCTGTGGCATGCTGCCTTGTTGCAGGAGGTCACTGTTGTGGTCTGAGGTCACTCCATCTACCATCTACCCACTCCTCCCACCCACAGCGTGTTGAGGAAATATTCTCTTCAGAAATCCAAGACATCATCTCAACTTCTCCTCCTGAGCTTCCACTGGAGATGAGGCCCCCACGGGGGCCAGCTGTCATGTCACAGTGGGTCATCTTGTAAAGGGAAATTAAGGTCCACTTGCCAGACTAAGGAAACTCAGAAATCAGAATCTGATAAAGTAAACAGGATGCAATATCTGACCTAGGAGATTAAAATCATGTTATCAAGCTAAAATCACAATCTTGGAACATGAGAAAAATATGTAAGTCTAAAGCATAGGGGGAAAAAATGATAGCCTACAAAGGAGCAGAAGTTTCTGGGACCTTAAATTCTAATGCAGTGTGGCAAAGCCCCTCCCACCTGGGCCTGGCGTATGGGCTCTCCTCCAGGTTCCAGCTCCCTGCTTCTCTGAAATGTCTTGCCATCTTTAGGAGACCCCAGGTTCTCTGGTCCCATGAGTCCAAACCTCAGAATCACAGAGGGAGCTTGATCAGAATACAGACCCCAAGCTCCATCGCAAACCAGTGACATGGACTCTCTAGATCTTGGATTTGGAAATCTGTGATTTTCAACAAGCTGCTGAGTGATTAATTCTTCTACAGCCAGCCCAACCCTGGTCATCAGGCCGGGCTTATGAAGGATTTTGCACCAGACAATAGTAGTTGATCCGCTTGATGTGGAGCCTCCGAGCAGAGAACTATTGCTGTTAAAACATCATGAGGTCAAACTACTTTACAAATATATTTTTAATTAAATTTTGCATTTTAGTTATTTCTATTTTGTTAATTATTATTTCACACTTATGATTTATTTGAAGCAATATCACCAATATCACTGAAATCCTTTAGCCAACATAATTTATTTCCAGTGATTATATGAGATTCTGCAATTCAAATGTGCTTAGTTTATATCTGAAGCCAAGGTGGCCTGGATATTAATTGCTGAAATATACTAGTTCAGGGGTGAAAATAACAATAACAGTATCAGTGAACACTTACAGCGGTGCCCACTAGGTACTGGGCAGAGTGCTAATGCAAGTTAGGAGAGTTAATGCATTTCGTCTTCTCTGAAGGCATGAGAGATGATGAGATAGGTATTATTGGCTCGATTTTGCAGCTGGGATTTCTGAAACACAGAGAAGTGATTTGTGCGAGTCTCACCATAGAGTCATGCCCAGACTCCAGAGTCCTTGCTCCTACTGGCCACACTGTCCCGCTGTCCACAACATCTCCCAGCAGTTAATCTCCATCTGCTGTGCAGGAACGCACCACACTCCCCCCAGCTCTGCATGGACACTTCCCTGGGGTGGCCCAGCTGCTCCAGGGCATCCACCTTCTCACCTATGCACGCTTCCTTGTGGACCTGTCCTGTGCTAGGTTGTGATGCTGAGAGCTGCTGACAGCACCTGCTACAGGCATCATGGCTCTGATGCTCTGGGTGGCCTGACCTCAGGGATGCTTCAACCCTGGGATGGCATCTTGCCCTTTCCTGCCAGCCCAGTGCTTTTCCGATAGGAGTTGCTGCCACTGTGCACCCTCCGTGCCCAGCTTACTTGGACACATCCACTGTGTCATTGAAGACACAGGCTTTGATCCCATAGGACAAGGTGAACACTGGACACTGGGGTGTATTTGGAATTGTCCCACCCCCTCACCAACAGGCACCCATTGTCTGCAGACCCCACTTGTGCACTGGGTCCCCCATGGAAAGAAATTCCTAGCAAGACCCTCACCAAGCCTCTAAATATGCCTGGCAGTAATTGATCTTATGAGTGAACACAGAAAGAAATTGATGACAATGAGGGCAAGAGACAAGTATCAGAACCAAGATTTAAGCTTCAGTTTGGAGCTCCTGGCTCCCATCCCTCCAACCCTGTAGGTCCATATGCCGCTTCTCAGTGTAGCACCCGAACTCTAGAGGAAGTGAAGCACCTTGGAGCTATTTGGGGGACATCACGTGTTCTTTACCGAGTGTTCTTTCTGAATGTTCTTTACCAGGTAGGAGAGAGCTGGGATCCCAACCAAAGGTTGTCTTGATTTTAGAGCCAATGGAGTAACTTCTTGGATAAAGAGTTCATGAAAGCAGTATTAATACACTCTCAATTCAGGGTCTGTGCAGGGTATACATACCAATTAGGAGGGTGAGATGGGGGTGAGTTCAAGAATTATACTCACAGTGCTTTCAGTATTGTGGCTCAACTGAAGCCTTTAAAGGGATGAGTTCATTCTCACACAGCTGAGAAGGCCTTTAAGAAGATGACTCAGGGCTGGGCACGGTGGCTCACGCCTGTAATCTCAGCACTTTGGGAGGCTGAGGTGGGTGGATCTCTTGAGGTCAGGAGTTCGAGACTAGCCTGGCCAATGTGGTGAAACCCTGTCTCTACTAAAAATACAAAAAAAAATAGCCGGGCATGGTGGCAGGTGCCTGTAATCCCAACTGCTCAGGGAGGCTGAGGTGGGTGGATCTCTTGAGGTCAGGATTTCAAGACTAGCCTGGCCAACATGGTGAAACCCCGTCTCTACTAAAAATACAAAAAAATTAGCCGGGCATGGTGGCAGGTGCCTGTAATCCCAGCTACTCGGGAGGCTGAGGTGCGAGAATCATTTGAACCTGGGAGGTGGAGGTTGCAGTGAGTTGAGATCACGCCACGGCACTCCAGCCTGGGCAACAGAGAGAGACTCCGTCTCAAAAAAATAAATAAAAAAAGAAGAAGATGACTCCAGTTACACATTATAAAAGCAACTCCATGTTTGCTAGAGAGGTAGGTGGCCTGGAAGCAGCTGTGGGTTTTCTCCTGTGCTTCTTCAGTGTGACATCAGATTCTGAGTATTTGCTCCCACCCATCTTACTCTCTTTCTCCACTTTTTCTGGCCTGTTTCTTCTCATATGAAAGGGTTGTAATAATTACATCATGCATCCGTGAGAATGAGAGGAGCCTATGGAATGGAAAGCGCTTAGTGACCCACAAGTCACCATACAAATGGAAGGTGTCTCCTTCTGTTTCACTTTTAGTTGCTCAGAGATGGTGCTAGTCATCTAGTTGCCAAGCTGGAGTACAATGGCTACTCGCAGGTGCTGTCAGAATGCACTACATCCTTGAACTCCCCACATCAGCCTTCCACGTCGCTGAGACTACAGGCATGTGCGACTGTACATGCCTTTGGATCATTGTTTTTGTTTGGGGAATTGCAGCAGGAGAGTGTGGTCAGGAGCATGGGATTGACTGCGAAACCAGTGTATGGTTGCTGGGTTCCACAGAGAGGAATAAGGCACACATGAAGAGAGCTTGCTGCAGTACCCAAGGTGGAGATGCTATCTGAGCCTGGGACAGTGACTAAGGTAGATGGGCACACACACTCTGAGTATTTCTGTTACTAATCAGTAAACATGGGACACCCAGCCTGCAAATCACACTTAATTGTTTACATATGTTCTACAAGCGTTCCATTTATGGCAGTGCGTGGCAGCAGAAGGCGCTTCACAATGCTAATCTGTAAATAACATAGTATGTACAGGCCTGTTTGGAAATTAACTAAACAAATCAGTCATTGTGCTGGAGATCCCCCTGTGAGTCCTGCAGAAACTATCCCCACATTAGAGCTGTTTCTCTCTGCATCCCAAGGTTCATTAAGACTTAAGATAAGGACCCCATTGTCCAATACTTGGAGCCCTTCTCCTCCACTGCTACTCTGTCTCTCTGAAAAAGCAGGGTTTCTCAGCAGCAGCACTGTAGACATTTTGAGCTGTATGGTTCTTTGTGGTGGGGGCTGTCCTGGGCATCGTGGAAATGGCCCCAGCCTCCAGCCAGAGAACAGCCATTTCCAGGAAGGTTGTAAACAATTGTGCTTTGCACTGAGGCCCCAGCCTCCCCTCTACATGCACAGCCACCAGCTATGTCATATGAAGTGGGTGAGGAACCAGAAGGACAGCAAGTGATGGGTTCATTCTGTGCCGAGTAGCGCAGTTACAGCCTACGCAGTACACTCCAGCTTTTTCCAGTTAAAAAGGAAATGTCCTCAAGTGTTAGCTCCTCATCGTCATCTGAAAGCGTGACATTTTTCTAATGCTGTTTTTATTTATGACAGTATTTAGCACTTCCATGGTGCCATGGAAGCTGGTGCCTGGTTATCTCATTGCCATAGTCTTTGGTCTTCTATGTGTGGACCTGCTCCCCTAACACATGATTACACATGTGCCGAGTTTTTTCAGGGCCCTGCCTGCCCTCTCTGCCCCTGTGGAATCCCACGCCACTGACTTCCCAGCTGACCGACTATGATAAGATGACCTGCTTCACTGACATCCTCCACAGGCGTGCGAGTGGGGGCTGTTTTAGTCCCCAGGAAGGCCAACCTTCAATGACTCAGATGCAACACTATTTCCCAGTAATAAAAGCCCAGCTCCAGCTGTTGGCCTGAGGGTGGGAGCCTGTCATTTCTCCATAGAGCTTTGAAAAGACATAGCCCTGTGAAGCTCCAAAACAGAAATGCACTGCAGGTGTCCTGCGGACCTCTGCTGCCCGCCACCCCCGCTTGGCTTGTCACAGCTCACCACCTTCCCCTCTTCATTCTCTCAGGGGGAAAAAAGCCAGGTAATGAAACACCTTCCTTTTAGGATGCCTTGATCTCTAAGGTGCTGTGGATAATTTCCCTGATCTAGTGGAATTCTAACTCAGAGTTTGTTTTCTACATTGAGAATCATTTCAATAATGGAATAGCATGAAGCACCACAATGTCTCATTTTCTCTGAAAATAGAAATGACAGGGAAAATATCCATTGTTGGTGGCCTTTGATGGAACTCAAGCCTCTTAGAGAGGCTCCTGTGGAGGCTGCCTTTCTCCTGCTGCTGAGTGAGCACTTGACGGCTGCCGGGCACACGCAGCTGGGCAAACACTAGGCTGATGCCTGCGATTCCTGGCTCTTCTCTTTTGTCTGTGGATGTTGCTCTGGGTGTCTGGGTGTTAATCTTCCTTTTCCACTATCCCCATCTCTACATCTGGAGAAAGCTTTTTCTCTTATGCATATGCCAGGCCATTCTGAGCAAGTATCATGACCCTCCGAATCCTTTCCTGAATAAATCCCACCCATTTTTCAGGAGTTAGCTCTCTCATTTTAGCACTTAGCTCCTATCTGATGCTGTGAGCATTTCCAAATGTTTTCTTTTGAGAGCAGGTAGCGGTCATTATTCATGTTTCGAAGCCTCCACTCTCGGCATCAGCCTACCTGCAGCCTGACTCTGCTGTTGTAAAACAGCCTTCTTGGTGCCTCCTAGGCAGTTGCTAAAGCTCACGGCCCCAGAAAGCTTTTGATAGCTTCTTGGATCCTTTTCTGGAAGATTCCAGGCTCCTCTAGGCCACAGCACCCCGAACCCCACCTGACCAGCCCCTGGCTGTTCCTGTTTCCCGCAGTCTGCTCTGAAGCCTTGAAGCCTCAGCGGCCTCTTTCTCAAGGGAGTCCTAGATATTAATGATAGTGGTACATTTCACGTTGAAATGCTAAAATAGCAATCAGTGGAACTATTTCCCTGATGTGCAGGTCTAATGCGCTGTGTTGAATCAGAAGCCTTGCTCAGTGAGCCAACTCATTAAATCCTTAGGAGCAGCCGTCCTCAGAGACTCCCTTCACACACATGCCCTGTTCATCCTGTCCCAGGCCGGCCCTGTCAGGGACGCTGTTTCTTGTACTTGCCTCGTAACTACCTCTTGGGGATGTGAGAGACCAGGGTTGTAAGAGGTGGCCGTGATAGAGAATATTTATAGAAAGAAAACAAAGCAAAAAAAAAAAAGGAGAAACTGTTCTTCCTCTCCTAGGAATGTAGGATGAGTTGCTTTCCCAAACCTACTCCCCAGGTTCATCCAAAATTTAAAGGCCCCAGGCTCTGAGAGATTTCCCTTGGGTGATACCCCTGTTCTCCATCCTGGCAACACTCAGTGATGTGTGGGAAATGGAAGCACGGCAGGAAAAACCTAGGAACCTGAACACCCGGATAATCTTGAAAGATCCCTCTTTTTTAAAAAAATACATAAGTGTGTGGAACTATAATTTTTATATAATCGAGTGTTGGCCAAATATGAAAGACAATGGAATTGAATTCTTTTTTTTTTTAATTATACTTTAAGTTCTGGGATACATGTGCAGAACGTGCAGGTATACACGTACCATGGTGGTTTGCTGCACCCATCAATCCGTCATCTACATTAGTTATTTCTCCTAATGCTATCCCTCCTCTAGCCCCCTCACCCTCCAACAGGCCCCGGTGTGTGATGTTCCCCTCCCTGTGTTCATGTGTTCTCGTTGTTCAGGTCCCACTTACGAGTGAGAACATGCAGTGTTTGGTTTTCTGTTCTTGTGTTACTTTGTTGAGAATGATGGTTTCCAGCTTCATCCATGTCCCTGCAAAGGACATGAACTCATCCTTTTTTATGGCTTCATAGTATTCCATGGTGTATATATGCCACATTTTCTTTATCCAGTCTATCATTGATGGGCATTTGGGTTGGTTCCAAGTCTTTGCTGTTGTGAATAGCGCTGCAGTAAACATACGTGTGCATGTGTCTTTATAGTGGAATGATTTATAATCCTTTGGGTATATACCCAGTAATGGGATTGCTGGGTCAAATGGTATTTCTGGTTCTAGATCCTTGAGGAATCGCCACACTGTCTTCCACAATGGTTGAACTAATTTACACTCCCACTAACAGTGTAAAAGCGTCTGTATTTCTCCATATCCTCTCCAGCATCTGTTGTTTCCTGACTTTTTAATGATTGCCATTCTAACTGGTGTGAGATGGTATCTAATTGTGGTTTTGATTTGCATTTCTCTGATGACCAGTGATGATGAGCTGTTTTTCATATGTTTGTTGGCCGCATAAATGTCTTCTTTTGAGAAGTATCTGTTCATATCCTTTGCTCACTTTTTGATGGGGTTGTTTTTTTCTTATAAATTTGTTTAAGTTCCTTGTAGATTCTGGATATTAGCCCTTTGTCAGATAGACAGATTGCAAAAATTTTCTCCCATTCTGTAGGTTGCCTGTTCACTCTGATGGTAGTTTCTTTTGCTGTGCAGAAGCTCTTTGGTTTAATTAGATCCCATTTGTCAATTTTGGGTTTTGTTGCCATTGCTTTTGCTGTTTTAGTCATGAAGTCTTTGCCCATGCCTATGTCCTGAATGGTATTGCCTAGGTTTTCTTCTAAGATTTTTATGGTTTTAGGTCTAACATTTAAGTCTTTAATCCATCTTGAATTAATTTTTGTATAAGGTGTAAGGAAGGGGTCCAGTTTCAGTTTTCTGCGTATGGCTAGCCAGTTTTCCCAATACCATTTATTAAATAGGGAATCCTTTCCCCATTGCTTGTTTTTGTCAGGTTTGTCAAAGATCAGATGGTTGTAAATGTGTGGCATTATTTCTGAGGCCTCTGTTCTGTTCCATTGGTCTATGTATCTGTTTTGGTACCAGTACCATGCTGTTTTGGTTACTGTAGCCTTGTAGTATAGTTTGAAGTCAGGTAGCGTGATGCCTCCAGCTTTGTTCTTTTTGCTTAGGATTGTATTGGCTATACAGTCTCTTTTCTGGTTCCATATGAAATTAAAATATTTTTTTCTAATTCTGTGAAGAAAGTCAGTGGTAGCTTGATGGGGATAGCATTGAATCTATAAATTACTTCGGGCAGTATGGCCATTTTCACAATATTGATTCTCCTATCCATGAGCATGGAATGTTTTTCCATTTGTTTGTGTCCTCTCTTATTTCCTTAAGCAGTGGTTTGTAGTTCTCCTTGAAGAGGCCCTTCACATCCCTTGTAAGTTGTATTCCTAGGTATTTTATTCTCTTTGTAGCAATTGTGAATGGGAGTTCACTCATTATTTGGCTCTCTGTTTGTCTATTATTGGTGTATATGAATGCTTGTGATTTTTGCACATTGATTTTGTATCCTGAGACTTT